>NC_000006.12:29150909-29453939 GCF_000001405.40 Homo sapiens | reverse complement strand
TCTTGCACAGCTTAGTGTTCAGTCAATGATTGGGTGAAGGTTTTGGTCAAATACTTTTGATTTCAAAAGGCTTCCATTCTCTGCTAATGCATCTGCCTTTGTGCTGGGACCATATTCAAATTCAGAGAGCTTTTAAGTTTGTCTTGGATTTTACTTCATGCTGGTTTCTCTCATGTTTCTTCTGTACATACCTGTAGTTTCCCAGTCAGCCAGGAATGTGTAGAGATCTTATCTAATTCTTCTATAGCTATCTAATTCCCAGCATCTTCCCATTACATTTCTGATAGGTTCACTGTTCGCCTCATTAAAACTGTAACCTCTGGATACCTGAGCCTTAAACACGATTGAGTTTGTTACTTTTACTGACATAAACCCTAGGCATGAGTTTTTATCTTTGTTCCAAATCATCTCAACCCTCTTTAATAGTGTAATTGTTGATTTTCATGGCCATTCCTGACTGGCAAAACTACCATCAACTAAGTTGGAGTAGTACTGGAGCACTTTTCACAGGACAGGCACAGTTACCTATGATTCTTACCTAAGCTTCTAGCACTGCTTTATGAAAAAGTGGTTCTCAATTTATTATTTGCCTTGGTTTATTTCCAGACACCTGAAATGATTGTTTTTGACAATTTTTCTGGTTTTATAATTTATTTGTGAGGTGGAGGAAGGAAGGATTTGCTGTCCTCTTTAATTCACCATATCTGGTGAATTTTATTTTTAATGTATATATATTAATTTATATTTATTATTTATTTCATAATTTATATTATAATTTTATTTTTAATCTATAAGTGTATTTATGATTAAGCTGTCTTTATATTTAAAGTGCAAGTTTTTTTCTTGGGGATACCATATGGATCCTGAACTTATAAGAGTCTACTCTGACTTAATACAATACCTTTAACATAGAATATAAAAATCTGATAATAATAAAATTAGTTATAATTCCTCCCATTCTTTGTGCAGCTATTGCCGTGTTTTACTTTACATATGTTACAACCCTTGTAATATATTATCATTATTTTTAGACTTTTAATGAATTTAAGAAAAGGAAGAAGATAACTTTTATATACACTTTTATGTTTCCAATCTTGAAAGTTTTTCGTTCCTTCTCATAGATTTGAAACTCCAAATATTATAATTTCTCTATAGCCTGAAAAACTTCCTTTATCCTTTTTTATTCTTTTAGTGAGTATCTTCTGGCAACAAATTTTCTCAGCTTCTTTTTAATTTCAGATGGCTTTATTTTGCCTTCATTTAAGAAAGATTATTTTCCCCCACTGGGTAATTCTAAGTTGGCAGATTTTTTTTCTCTTCACATTTGAAAGATAATTCATAGCCTTCTGACTCCCTTTGTTTCTGTTGAGATGTTGGCAGTCATTTTTATTGTTATTCCTTATTATGCAATATGTCTCTACCACTTCAGCGGGTTTTCAGATTTTTCTTTTTAAATCTTTGTTTTTCTCAGTTTATGATGTATGTAGATGTGGTATTGATAATGTGGATTGCTATTTTTATCGAATTTGAAAAAATTTTGCCAACATTTTTTGAACAATTTTTTTGTTTGCCCTTTTATCTCTCTTCTCCTTTTTTTCCCCTAATTTTTATTTTAGTTTCAAGGGGCACAGGTGCAGGTTTGTTACACGGGTAAATTGCGTGTCATTGGGGTTTGGTGTACAAATGATTTTGTCACCTAGGTAGTGAGCACAGTAACCAATAGGTAGTTTTTTGACCCTCACCATCCTGCCATTCTTCCAACTCAAGTAGGCCCTGGTGTCTATTGTTACTTTCTTTGTGGTCATGTGTATTCAATGTTTTGCTCCCACTTACAAGTGAGAACATGCAGCATTTGGTTTTCCAATCCTGCTTTAATTTGTTTAGGATAATGGTCTCCATCAGGATCCATGTTGCTGCAAAGGCCATGATTTCATTTTTCATGGGTGTATAGTATTCCATGGTATATAAGTACCATGCATTTTTCTTCTCCAGTCCACTGTTGATAGGTATTTAGGTTGATTCCATGTCTTTGCTATTGTGAACACATACACATACATGACTCTTTATGGTAGAATAATTTATATTCCTTCGTGTATATTTCCAGTAATGAGATTGCTGGGTCAAATGGCAGTTCAGTTTTAAGTTCTTTGAGAAATCTCCAAACCACTTTCAACATACATTCTCAGCAGCATGTATGAGCTAACATACATTCTCAGCAGCAGTGTGTAAGCATTCCTTTTTTCTCCACGATGCTTCCAGCATCTGTTATTTTTTGAGTCATTCTGACTGATATGAGATGGTATCTCACTGTGGTTTTCACTTGCATTTCTCTAATGAATAGTGATATTGGGCATTTTTTTCATGTGCTTCTTGGCTACATGTATGTCTTCTTTTGAGACGTGTCTGTTCATGTCCTTTGCCCATTTAAAAAAAATTTTTTTTCTCTTTAAGTTCCTTATAAGCTCTGGATATTAGACTTTTGTCAGATGCATAGTTTGCAAACATTTTCTCCCATACTGTAGGCTGTTTATTTACTGTCTTGATGGTTTCTTTGGCTGTGCAGAAGCTCTTTAGTTTAATTAAGTTCCACTTGTCTATTTCTGTTTTTGTTTCCATTACTTTTGACAACTTTATCATGAAATCTTCACCCATTTGTATGTACAGAATGGTATTTGCTGGATTTTCTCCCAAGGTTTTTATAGTTTTAGGTTTTACTTTTAAATCTTTAATTTACTTCGAGTTGACTTTTGCATATGGTGAAAGGAAAGGGTCCAGTTTCAATCTTCCTAATACGGCTAGCCAGTTAGCCCAGCACCATTTATTGAATAGTGAGTGCTTATTTTTGTTGACTTTGTTGAAGATAAGATGGTTGTAGGTGTGCGGCATTATTTCTGGGTTCTCTGGTCTGTTCCATTGGTCTATGTATCTGTGTTTGTAACAGTACCATGCTATTTTGGTTACTGTAACCTTGTAGTATAGCTTGAAGTTGGATAATGTGATGTCCTCAGCTTTGTTCTTTTTGCTTAGGATTGCTTTGGCTATTTGTGCTCTTTTTTGGTTACATATGAATTTTAGAATAGTTGTTTCTAGTTCTGTGAAAAATGTCATGGGTAGTTTAATAGGAATAGCATTGAATCTGTAAGTTACTTTGGGTCATATAACCATTTGGATAATACGGATTCTTCCTATTCATGAACATGGAATGTTTTTTCCATTTTTTGTGTGTGTTGTCTCTGATTTCCTTCAGCAGTGTTTTGTAATGCTTGCTTGTTGTAGAGGTCTTTCATCTCTCTGTCTAGCTGCTTTCCTAGGTATTGTGTGTGTGTGTGTGGCTATTGTGAATGTAATTGCACTGTTGATTTGTCTCTCAGCTTGGACATTGTTGCCATATTCTGTGCCATGCCAGATGGAGTACTTAACAGAGCAGTGGATGTTGTAATGAACATATGTCTGCTTTTAAGATTCCAATAAAATATTTTAGGATTATAGCTGTGGACAGCTTTCAGTTTTTCAAGGATGAGGTTGGATTCTATACCCGGGACATAATTAGGCTGAGCATTCTCAGGAAAGTTAAGATCACTACAAGCCTCTCCACTCTACCCAAACACTGAGTTTCTGTTGTGAGGGATGACCCAGCAGGTCTGGGATAGCTGTTGAGAGTTTTGATACTATGGTTGGGCCTAAGAGGGAGGCTGCATGGGAGAAGCCAAACTACCAGCTGGGGCTGTGGGACAGTGGTGGAACCAAGGACAAATGTAGTCCCCTGTTTTAACAATGACCATTGTTGTGTTTTTTTTCCTCTTCTAGGGTCTTTCTACATCCCATATCTTAGTTACTCATAAAACTGTGCTGCCACAGGCCCATTTTTCGGTGAGAAAGCTAGAAAAGTTGGAGGACTTATTCTAAGTCACGCTGTTACCAGCCTAGAGGGGCATCTCAGTGTTTTGAGCAGCTTCTCGTTTTGTGAGCTTTGTGGATGAGTGGTAAGAAAGATGGTCATTTGGGCCGGGCACGGTGACTCAGGCTTGTAATACTAGCACTTTGGGAGGCTGAGGCAGGCAGATCACCTGAGGTCAGGAGTTCAAGACCAGCCTGGCCAACATGGAAAAACCCCATCTCTACTAAAGATACAAAAATTGGCTGGACGTGGTGGTGCATGCCTGTAGTCCCAGCTACTCTGGAGGCTGAGGCAGGAGAATTGCTTAAACCTGGGAGGTGGAGGTTGCATTGAGCCGAGATCATGCCACTGAACTCCAGCCTGGGAGTCAGAGCGAGACTCCATCTCCAAAACAACAAAAAAAAGAGAAAGATTGGTCATTTATGGGTGGGTGGGTGTATTCGAAGGAAATGTTCAGTTGTGAGGATATCAGAAGAAGGAAGAAAAATCATAACTGGGAAAGAAAGATACTTTTTTGTGAGACGTAGCTTGAGTAATTTATTTTTGATATTTGATTTTTTGAAATATTTTTTGAGTACTTAACATATGTAGAGATTAGAAACTTCTGGTAATTAAGAGGGGGCAAGATAGCTAGAGTATCATTTAGTATAGGATTATAGGGAGGTATTTGAAGTTTTCTTCTTCTTTCCTTTTCTTTAAATAGTAAAACTGAACAGAGAGTAGAGAGGTTTTCTGTATACCTCCTGCCCTTCCTCCCTAGGTGGACTCTCCTACTAACAACATCCCATATTAGAGTGGTAATTTGTTATAACTGATAAACTTACACTGACATATCATTATCACCCAACGTCCATTGTTTACTTCAGGACTCACTCTTGGTACTATATATTCTATGTGTTTGGACAAGTGAATCCTAGTACATACAGAATAGTGTGACTGCCCCAAGGTTCTCTGTGCTTTCTATTCATCATTCCTTCTCTGACCCCATACTCCTGCTGTAACCTCTGGAAACCACTGATATTTCTACTTTCTTCATCATTTTGCCTTCACTGAAAGAGTTTTAAGGCATATTGATTAGGAGAAGTTAGAGGTTAAAGTAAAAGAAGGAGAGGTAAGAGGTCACCAGTCATTAAAAATACATTGAAGGCAAGAAAAGTGTTGGGAGAAGGGATCATAAAAAACATGAGTACTTCAAAGGGAAATAGGGATGAGAGCTACTGGGTAATATCAGGAAATTTTTAAAAAGAAGGTGTTTATTGGAATTGGAGATGGAAGTCATGGGAAGCAGGAGTTCTAGGACACCAGAGGTCAAAGTGTCCAGTATGATAAGAAGGAATACAGAAGGCTTGAAAAGGAATAAGAATTCATTAGAGGAGTTGAGTGGCATGCAGAATGGACACAGAAAATTGCCAGAACTGGCCAACTCGAAAATGGGGCTTTTGCCGACAGTTTGGTGCCTACTTAAACAGAATGTATCACTTGGTTGTCAGACATTATTCTATAGTGGCAGGATTCTATGACTTGCCCTTCCTTTCCCAGATTTCATGATTTTCTCAAGTGACCCTTATGGGGCATCCAAATGTGGCAACATAATAATTCATGGACACCAGAATTATCCAAGAGGAACTGGAGAGACAACAGCATTGGAGGGCCATCCAAGACCCCCAGTAGTCCTTTCTGTACTTGGTCTCCATGTGCCATCTTCACTTCCTTAGAAAGGGTCGTGTGGCTGGGTGTGGTGGCTCACGCCTGTAATCCCAGCACTTTGGGAGGCCGAGGTGGGCAGATCATGAGGTCAAGAGATCGAGACCATCCTGGCCAACTTGGTGAAACCCCATCTTTACTAAAAATACAAAAATTAGCTGGGTGTGGTGGCGCACACCTGTAGTTCCAACTACTTGGGAGGCTGAGGCAGGAGAATCGCTTGAACCCAGGAGGCGGAGGTTGCAGTGAGCCGAGATCACACCACTGTACTCCAGCCTGGGCGACAGAGCTAGACTCCTTCTCAAAAAAAAAAAAAAAAAAAAAAAAGAAAGGGTCATGTTGATCACTTTTGGATCTTTTTTGATGACCAGTAGAGTGCTATAGACTGGCTAAAAGAAAGAACTGAAGGAACTGTGACTCATTTACTTTCTATAGAACACCAGAGAGAAAGCCAAGGAATGCAAAGAATGCATATCCAGTGTCAAGGAGGAATGGGGAATGAGCTGAGTTCCTAAGGAGGCCCAGCCAGGCCATCCCAGAAACAGGAAGAATTAAAAGCCTCATCATCTAGCAGAAATCCTACAGTATTTATTTCACTAATTTGTTTTAGGTCCTCTCTTTGGATAATACAGAAGAATAACTCTACAATGGCCTCATTTATACTGCCAGAGGGCCCATAATGGTGATTCTCCAAAGAGTATATGGCCTGCATTCTCATTCACAATTGGGACGCACCCCTGTACTTATCTCTAGTCCTCCTTCAGTTCATTTCCAGACCCATGCTAGTGCAAGACTTAAAAGTGCTCCAGCCAGAAGAGTCTTCTACCACTCGTTCAAATTCATTCAACAAATAAATATTATCAAGTATAAAATTCCAAATTGGCATCAATAATATAAAACTGTCAATGCAAACCCCATTTTTCAAATTGACTATTTTTAGGAGCTGAATAAAGATCAAAATGATAAGCCCAATGTGTATAGGTATCTGTGGTCCATTGCAAAAATGAACTATTTCCCAATGGCTGCTTTAGAAAGTTTCTATTTGAAAGGCAGTAAATAAGAGGCATCATGATTGCCTAGGGCAGTATTTTTACCCTTGGAGTCAAGGATGGTCAGGGTTTCTATGTTTATCATTTGTATTCTTTTATGCAAATGGGGAATTAGGTCTAGATACCAAGAACTAGACCAGGATCTTATTGGGGTCGGAAATTAGGAGTAAAGCCAGTCCACAGGAATATCATGAACTGAAAAACAAAGAGGCAGAAAACATTGTTCTGGATGATAAGTTCCAGTTATTAGGTAAAATATTCTCGTGAAAAGTTGAGTAATTTATTTAGGTCCATCAGGGTGCCTATGGTCGACAGAGTCCTCAACTGTGTTATTTCCGCTGCTTGGGTTCTAAACCACCTTTTGACCTATTATTTGGCTTTCTGAAGAGGGTGATTGCAAAATGGATCTTATTATGCAGACCAGGTGTGCTGCTTATTCAGAACTCAGCAGTTACTTTGGCTCTAAATCAGCCTCCTGAGAAGTCAGTATTGGTAAGTCAGTCATTTCATTAGGGCTTGGTCACTGACTGGTATATTATCAACCATGTTTTTTTCAGGCATGCTGAGGTTGAAGCAAATGGGAGAGAGATGACTTTTAACTTCTGTGCTTCCACCTCCTCATTCTCTCAAGTGGCCGAATGTCTAACCTCAGTCAATCGTTGTGCCTTGAGGCTTGTTTCTCTAACTATATCCATACATATGTGGTGAATAAATATATCTATCATTCTTGGGTGCAAGTGCCCTGACTCCTGCTGCTTCTCTGCAGTGCCTCTAATTGGTTAAGAAGGTTGTGGCTTGGCTTTCCAGGCCCCTGGCAGGTGACATTGTCAGTCCTGGCTGCCAGGAGAGGAAACATCCAGAAAATGCTATTGCACAAACCAGGTGGTGGTTATGGTAGATGAGACAGATTAATAATATTGCCTCTTCTTGCAGGAAATGGGATTGGGTGATGAGGAGGGAGATAGGCAAGGGAAGCTCAGGGAAGGGAGGAAGTGGGTCTGGGCTGCAGTGAGAATGAAGGAGAATGAAGAGGATCCACTGAAAAGCTGAGCAGAGGAGAAATACAAAGGAAGTTGACCAGATTGCCAGCACTATGTAGAATAAGGCACACTGTGGGAACTTGATAATTATTCGCAGACTTGAAAGAAGTGTAAAGGGTTAGCCAAAAGAAAAAAAAAGTTGAATAGATGATGGGTGGCATCTTTGAAGCTTGAAGTTTGCACTGAGATCCCACTTTCTGTTTTTCTCAACTCTCAGAGGATCAACCCTGGAATCTTTTGTGTAGCAAGCCTGGTCAGCTCCTAATCCTTCTCCTTATGTCCCTGGGAGACCCAGAGCCCCTGTTTCTTGGTGGCCCTGATGTACCTGAGTTCTCTTCTTTCTTCTACAATATTTCCTCTTCCAACTCTTTCCTAGTCTTCCCTGACTGGAAAGAGTTAAGGCCAGTGAGGGCACACAACCTAGAGAGGCAGAGAGGCTGGCAATGGACAAGCACACGCTCCCATTTCCAGGACTGAGCCACAGCCTTTGTTCAGTGTCTCTTCCTGAGTCCTACATCCCTTTCCTGGCCCCTGTGTAAGATCCCCACGTGCTAGGCTCTCCAAGCCCTCCCTAGGGCACTGATTTGTGAATCCCAGAGAGCTCAGTGGGGAGCAGAAACGCAGGGGGACCATGCTGCCACAGGAGGAGCTGATGCAGGGAAGCAGTGAGCATAGACTGTGGGAGTGAGCTCTGGTTGGGAGGTTTCTCCAAGCCCTGTGAAGAGATTGGCCTGGGATGCACAGAGATGGCTTTCCTTGTGAGCCGGTGAGTCTTCCTCTGAGGTCTTTTTTGTTCTTTCTCTTTTCTCTGCTCAGTTCTTCAGCCTGCCTCTGTTTCTTCTTTCTCTCCTTCTCCCTTCCCTTCCATCTGACTTCTACCCTCCCTCCCTGATGCCACAGTCACTTCTTACTTCAGTTCTGCAAAGCTAAAGAATGAGGATACTGGCTGGGCACAGTGGCTCACGCCTGTAATCCCAGCTCTTTGGGAGGCCAAGGCAGGTGGATCATGAGGTCAGAAGTTCGAGACCAGCCTGGCCAACATGGTGAAACCCCGTCTCTACTAAAAATACATAAATTAGCTGGGCATGGTGGTAGGCTCCTGTAATCCCAGCTACTCAGGAGGCTGAGGCAGGAGAATCGCTTGAAACCAGAAGGCAGAGGTTGCAGTGAGCCAAGATCGTGCCACTGCACTCTAGCCTGGGCAACAAGAGTAAAATCCTGTCAAAAAAAAAGAAAGAAAGAATGAGGATACTTCTGGTAGCAGATACCATCAGGAGCTGGGGTGCACTATAGTGAGTGGGTCCCATGGGATTAGGGAAGTTGAGGAAGGGAGTGTCAGGGAGAAAGGTTGGTAGGAGGAAATATTAGGGACAGAGCAGTGGGATTTCAAGAAGCAGGTCAAGTTTTGCTCAGGGGCAATGGCAGGTGTGAGTAAGGGAGATGTGAGGTTCAGGAAGGTAGAATACAGTGGGGGAAGACTCAATATGGGGATCACTGATGGACTCTCCCTAGCTTTTGAGTGGTGTTTGTCTTGAAAACCAATGACTGTGCTTATATTGCCCAGGATTAATGTAGTTCAAGGTCCCTTGGTAGCTATCTATGGTGGAGAAAGAGCATTTGCTGCAATCTTCCTTCTGGTTCTTTGTGAGAGTATCAGCTATAAGAAGCATATAGTCCTTGGGACAAATAAGCACAGAATAGTGGATCTGGAACTCAATCCAGAGCTCATTTGATTTAGCCTTTATGTTTATTGATGATGAAATTGAAAACCAAAAAGATGATGCAAAGAGTTTGCTCTAGGTCCTGTAAAGTTTTAGTAACGGAGTAGAGATCACAACCCATGTCTTCAATCTTTACCAAGGTGTATTAGTCTGTTTTCACACTGCTGATAAAGACTTACCCAAGGCTGGGCAATTTACAAAACAAAGAGGTTTATTGGACTTACAGTTCCACATGACTGGGGAGGCCTCACAATCATGGTGGAAGGCAAGGAGGAGCAAATCACATCTTACATGGATAGTAGCAGGAAAAATGAGAGCTTGTGTAGGGCAGCTCCCATTTCTAAAACCATCAGATCATGTGAGACCCATTCACTATCACAAGAACAGCACAGGAAACATCCACCCCCATAATTCAATCATCTCTCACCAGGTCCCTCCCACAACACATGGGAATTATGGGAGCTACAAGATGAGATTTGGGTGGGGACATAGAGCCAAACCATATAACCAGGGATTTTCCATTCAATACTTTCCCCTGTCTATTTTTTTTTTTTTAATTACTGATTGGTGGCTCTAAGTCTTGCTCCAGAAAGACTAATGTGCTGGGTTACATAAATGTACAGAAAATAAGGATGAGAGAGACTGGACAAAGAAAAAGGTAGAATAGAACAACAACAACAACAGCAAGTGAGACCAGAAACTAGATATCTCAAAAATATATCGTGAGGAATTGCACATTTCCTGGAGATGAGTTACAAATTCAGGTGGAAACTTGCTAGCTGTCATGTTAAGAGGAAAAGTGATTACTTAATTTCTTAAAAAATTAAACATACACTTCCCATGTGATGCAGCCATTTCACATCTATGTATTTACCCCAGAGAAATGAAAGCATACAAAGACTTTGTACACAAATGTTCATAGAACCTTCATTCTATGAACCAAAAACTGGAAACAACCTGAACTTCCTTTAGCAGGTGAATAAATAAAAAATTGTGAAAACAACCCAAATTTCCTTCAGCAGGTGAATGGATGAACAAATTATGTCATATCTATACAATGGAGTATCACTCAGAAATGAAAAGGAATGGCTGCTGTACACACCACAACATGGCCAAATCTCCAAATATAAGTCAGACTAAAAAGAGTACATATTTTATAATTTCATTTATATAAAACTCTGAAAAAAGAAAAATATAGTGCTGGGAAGCAGATCAGAGGTTGCTTGGGAATGAGGAGTGCAGGGAGGGGTGAAAGAGAGAGATTACAATGGAGTGTGAGGGAGCACGGGGGCTGGATATGTTCATTTCGTGATTGCGCCTATAATGTCATGGTGCATACATGGGTCAAAACTTATCAAATTGCACACTTAAACATGTACAATTTGTCATATGCCAATTGTACTTCCATAAAACTGTGAGGAAATGTTATTGCTTATATGACAGGAAAAATACAGTGATTCCTATCACTGAGATATGAGAAAAATGATCCCTCTGAGAGTTTCATAATGTTGCTTCTTGTAATCTTTCTCAATGTAAACCAATGGCTTAATGCCAAAACACTCTTTAGCAAGACCAGTTCTAGGAAAGATGAGTTGATGGAGATATGTAGGAAGTGGAAATATTTCAGCATTTTAAATGTGTAGCTCTGTGCTCATCTGCTTTAGCTTGGGGATAAGATTTAGATTTTAAATTATCAGAGGAAAAGCTGTTTTGACAATCCTTTAGGCAACCCTTCTTAAATGCTGTTCCTCGCTATTGCAGTTTTGTTCAATTGAAGAGCAGTAGTTGTGAGGTTTTCCACATTGATAAAATGAGTTTGAGGAAGGCCACACAACCCCTTTTGGGGGGTGGGGACAGGGAGTAACACCTTTGTCTTTTCGCTTTACATTTTGAGTGTTTTCTTACTTTGCAAACTGTTCTCTGATAGTTTCATGAGAATCAGTGCTTTCTTAACAGGACAGCAAGTGCTCTCTGGACAGAATCACCACCCTGTATGTACTTGATATTCTCCACAGTGCCAAAGAGCAATAGGCACATAGAAAGTTTGCAATAAATACTGTTGCATTTGAATAAAGTGTTGGAATGATATAAAGTATGTAGATTGCACTTTTAATTATTAATAAATACTTGCCTCTTGGAGATGGCTGTTTTTGATTCACCCTCTCAGCTTATTCCACTTATTTGTTCTGCAGTTCACTGACTCTCCTGCATATCATAGCCCTTATATTTGCTCTTCCGTGTCTTGGTAGTTTTTGGCTCATATCTGTGCTGGGTAGCAGTTTCTGTTAACAGTGATGTATAGAGCCTCTTCTTCCACCTTCCTCTGGGTCTCTTGTGGGTTCCAATGCCACTGATATTTCAAGAATACCCTTCTCTTCCCAGCAAAGTCACCCCATGTGAGCCAAACATTAGCCTTTGCGCTGACCTGTCTGACTTGCTAACAAAAACATCTATCAAGATACTATTTTGTGCCAGATATTAAGCTTGATTGTTTGCAAGTCTACAAATCCTCACAAAAACCCAATGAATTAGACTCTGTTGTTACCGCAACTTTATAGATAAGAAAATTAAGGCTCACATAAAAACAAAACAGAACAAAACAAAAAACAAACAGATTATGTCCTTTGCAGCAACATGGATGGAACTGGAGGTCATTATTCTAAGCAAACTAACACAGGAACAGAAAACCAAATACCATATATTCTCACTTAAAAGTGGGACCTAACACTGAGTACACATGAACACAAAGAAAGGAACAACAGATACCAGGACATAATTGAGGGTGGAGGATAGAAGAAGGGTGAGGATCAATAAACTGCTTATCAGGTACTATGCTTATTACCTGGGTGACTAAATAATCACTGTGAGGTGAAATTTACCTATATAACAAACCTGCACATGTACCCTTGAATCTAAAATAAAATTTAAAAAAATTAAGGCTCAGAGAGATTATATCATTCACCTGTGATCACTTAGCTAACTAGCTGGAAAAAATAAGACTTGACTTTAAGTCTGTCTGACATCAGAATCTGTTCTCTTAACCTCTGCGGCATATGAATTTCCATAAGAACTTACCTTCATTGAAACTTTTGTGGCCACTCCTTACTTCTTGAGGAATCTGTCTTTAGCTGGTAGTAGATTTAATTAGGTATAATTATGTTTGCTAAGGTACTAACCAGTAGTACCACCCAAGAAACAAATGCCTTACCTAGGACGTACAAATGTCAAATGACTTTAAGGATCATTGTTGTGGCTGAAAATTTTATTACCTTGCTAGTCTGATAAGGATAATATTTTGTAACTTTATCCCTGGTTGTCAACTTGCTCTGCTTCTGAAATTGATCCTCCATCCTGGGTTTCTTGTTTCTTGCAACAGAAAGCGGAATAGAATATGTATGTGTTGTGAGGGTCTGAGGAGCGCATTTGACTACGGTAGCTTTTCAAAGATAAGTTTGTCTTTCTGACAGGCTGGCCCTCCCCTAATGTGAAGAAAGACCTTAAGGGAGACTCTTTGATCCTTAGGTATTTGGGACTGACTCAGAGCACTGCACAGAAGTCACTATCGCCCCCTTTTCAAATCTCCATAGGCACCGTTTTCTGGATGGTTCTCTTTAGGGCAGCTTTGACCTCTGTGTTCCGCAGGCTGTAGATGATGGGGTTGAGGATGGGGGTGACCACAGCATAGAAGAGGGACACCAGAGGGTCAGTGGCCGGATCGTAGCTGGCCTTAGGGCGAATATAGATAAAGAGTGCGGTGCCATAGAAGAGGGAGACCATGATCAGGTGGGAGGAGCAGGTGGAGAAGGCCTTGCGGCGGCCCGCAACAGATGGGATCCGGAAGATGGTAACGAGGATACGCCCGTAGGAGCCCAGGATGAGGCCAAAGGGGCAGAGGATGAGGAGGGCTGTTGCCAGGATAATCTGCAGTTCATTAAGCGAGGTGTCTCCACATACCAGCTGCAGGACAGGCTGGATCTCACAGAAGAACTGCGGGATGGTATTGGGGCCGCAGAAGGGCAAAGAGAAGATGAAAGGGGTGTGGCCCAGCCCCACCAGCACCCCACAGGCCCACGCCGACCCAGCTAGCTGTAGACACACCCGGTGGCTCAGCAGCAGTGGGTAGCGGAGGGGTTCACAGATGGCTGCATAGCGGTCATAGGCCATGGCTGCCAGGAGGCAGCACTCCGTGGCGCCAAAGAAGAGGAAGAAGAACATCTGGAGAGCACATCCAGAGCGAGAGATGTGGCGCCGGCCAGTAAGGAGGTGGTGAAGTAGCAGGGGGACCGTGACAGACGTATAGCCAATCTCCAAGGCCGAGAGGGTGCGCAGGAAGAAGTACATAGGGGACTGGAGGGCAGCATCAGTGGAGACCAGCACCACAATGAGGAAATTGCCTGCCACGGTCAGCAGGTAGATAGTGAGAAAGACAGAGAAGAGCAAGCCCTGGAGGTCGGCCAGGTGGGAGAAGCCGAGAAGAAGAAACTCAGTCACCATGGAGGTGTTTGCACTCATCCTGCCTGCATACCTTTGACTGGAAGACAAAAGAAATGGCAAGGAAAAATCACAACTATGGAATCGTGAAATGGGCAAAGATGACCTCTCTCTGCATCTGATCGCAGCACTAGATCTCCCTTTCTATTAGAATATCATGGACTTTGAAATTAGGCAGCCTTGCCTGGAGTCCATATTCCACCCTTGCTCACTCTTGGGATCCTGGATGAGTATTTGTCTCTCTGAGCCTGAATCCCTGACTTCATCTCTTCCTGATAGTGCCTATCATTCTAAAGAACATGTTAAACTGTCTTTCCAGTTTTACCTGGGCTGAAGATTAAGTCAGTCTAGCTCCCTTTTCACTCTTTTCTGATTTTCCAATTCTTCCTGCAGGGCTGGAGACAGAATTTTCCCTCATAGCAGATCTTTTTCTCCATCAACTTGTCTCCTGTCTGATAAGAGGTGACCTCTCTTATCACCTCTTGCCCTCTAGTTTTCTTTTTTCCAGCTCTTTCTTTAGTTACCAGATTCACTTAGTCTTTCTTCTTTTTCTGTCATTTTACCATAAATTTCACAGTGTTCAAGGAGGAGAAAAAAAATGAGAAAGATCCTCTCTTTTTAAGCTCCTATAGCATTAAACAGTTCAACTATTTAGAGGGGTGAGCATTTCTCTAGTTTTAAAACATGCTCAGGCAAAAGATGACAAGAACTTCCTTAATTGCTTATTTCTGCATCTTACAGACTTTCAAACTTAGTCCTCTTACATTGTAAACATGAAAATCCCCAAACTACACACATAAACTCCACAAATTCACACACTGTCAAATTATATTTCAAAATACAGGCACAGAAGAATAGCCTAATATTCCCAGATGCCAGATTTATCTAAAGTTGCAAATCATGTATTCTATTGGCATTATTACAGATAACAGTAAAAGTCTAAATACACTGAACATAAAACTATAAACACCCAAAGATACACTTGAATATATACACAAATTCAATATTCCAGCCATATTCAAGGTTGTGTATTAGAAATACAAGTCCACACACTGATATCCTTTTGCAGTTGAAGAGCCCTTGGTTCATTCTCCTCTGGGGGCTCTTTCAGTGTTTTCCAGAAGATATTATCTCAAAGGTGTCTTTCTATTTTCTATTTGGAGAAATAACCAGTGAAGGCAGATGGCATTTGTGACTTGCTTATCTTCTTTTTTATCTACATAGTGGATCCCTCTTGAGGAAGCCTCTCTTAGGTTTGTTGTCTCTCTTTAAGCTCTCTGAGGATCTGAGTCTCCAAGCATTCTTGGCTTTCCAATGGGGAGAATGCTTCACAAAACCAATTAATCTGTTATTTTGAATCTGTTTCTTAGATTGCAAGAAATACAGAATGACCTGTTAAGAACATTTCAAAGAATATATCCAGAGCTATTGGTTTCTCTTAGTTCTCCCATATCTCTGGTTCAACCATTTTAATTTTCTTCTTTTTTCTCATGATTTTTTCCCATCACTGTAGATGTTCTAGTACATCTACAAAAAGTAATAATGCAATTTTACCCTTCTTATGTATATTGATATAATCCAGTAATCAATTTATTTGATAACTATTTATAGGGTCCCTTGCAGGTTTTATTGATTCTACAGGTAACTAATAATATAAAAGAGAAATAAACATGTTTTGACCTAATTGAGGTGCTAAATGTCATTTTCTTATACAATTGTCACTAATTTTTCTTGCTTTGATTTCTTTTTCATTTATTATACAAATCTTTCTTTGCATTTTTATCATTGGTATCTATTATTTGATTTGTTTCTTCTGTGTTTTTATACATTTTCATAGATGTGATAAAAGCTGTGTGTCAAATAGAATGTTTTCAAGACATACCAACCATTATAACAAGCCCCAACTCCAACGGGTTTAAGTAATAAATTTACTTATTAATTTATATAACTAGAAGTTCAGGGTTTACATAAACTGGATTTCGTACTTAGTTTTCTTCTGACTCCTTTATATTTTATCATTTCATTTATTTATTAGATTTGGCTGAAAGTAATGGAAATGCCAATGGCTCAAAGAGAATGAAAATTTATCTCTCACTTAAATGTCTAAAGATTTGTAGTTCAGGGAAATATGGCTGCTCTGATCCAGAATTCCTCAGGAATCTGTTTTCTCTCAGCTCATCAGTCATCTACTCCCAGAGTGTAGCCCTGTTATGGCTGAAGATGATGCCATTAATGTTACAGGGAACAGAATGGAGTAGAATAATTTGGATTGCTATTTGTCCACTCTTAGTGTAACCTATGTAGTATTATTGCTAAAAATGTTTAATTGGAGTATAAGAAAACAGTCAGACAAATCCATATTGTGGCATATTCTATAGACAACTGACACAAACTCTTAAAAAATATCCATGTCTTTAAAGACAAAGCAAAGATGGGAGATGACATCGTTCCAGATTGAAGAAGACCAAAAGCCATGGCAATAAAATGTCATTCATGATTTTTGACTGGATCCTACGTCATCAACAAAACAAAATAAAAACAACTATAAAAAAGATTTGGAACAAGTGGGAAAGTTGAATATGGGTTTTATATTATTGGTTCAATGTTAATTCCCTTGGGTGTAATAATAGTATTGTGGTTATGCTGGAGAATATTCTTGTCATTAGAAAGATGCAGAATGGCTGCATAGTATTCCATGGTGTGTATGTGCCACATTTTCTTAATCCAGTCTATCATTGTTGGACATTTGTGTTGGTTCCAAGTCTTTGCTATTGTGAATAGTGCCACAATAAACATACATGTGCATGTGTCTTTATAGCAGCATGATTTATAATCCTTTGGGTATATACCCAGTAATGGGATTGCTGGGTCAAATGGTATTTCTAGTTCTAGATCCCTGAGGAATCGCCACACTGACTTCCACAATGGTTGAACTAGTTTACAGTCCCACCAACAGCGTAAAAGTGTTCCTATTTCTCCACATCCTCTCCAGCACCTGTCGTTTCCTGACTTTTTAATGATCGGCATTCTAGCTGGTGTGAGATGGTATCTCATTGTGCTGGCGCTTTTCGAAAGCAGCCGCTGCGGCCGCCCAACGCCAAGAACGCTTCGCGAGCAGCGCCATCTTGAGCGAGGAAAGAGGAACCGAGAGAAGAGGATTGCGGGCCACTGGCCGACTGAATTCCGTATTTTATCTTTTCTTATTGCATTTTCAGAACTGAAGATACAGCTGACAGAGCACTGAACTAGGCCAGGGTTTTAATGCTGGCTCTATGACTAACCTATTCTATAACTTTGTACAATTCACTTCATTTTAATGAGACTCATATTTCTCATCTTTAAAATGCAGACACAGCTGATTCTTATTATTCACTGCAGTTGCATTCTATAAAGTTGCCTTGAACCCTGTAGGAGCAAATATTAAATAATTCCTTGCTTTAGGGGAGATGCAGGGTTAGATTCCTATGAGTTTTTGGTCACATTTTTGTCACCTGATCAATAAATAACCTTATTGTAAGTGTGTTTCTGTTTAAACACATCTTATATAATATATATCGTTGATCATTAACGTTGAACCCACAGCCAACAGCCCTATAACACATGCCTGAACAGAGCTTATCTAGCAAATGCATTTTCTCCGTAAGATCCATTGCAACATTTTTGTGCTCAGGAGCATGGGACAGCACTTCAGCGCTACATTTGGGGCTATTTTGAATTATGAAATCACCAAAAAACAAACAAAAAATGTGAAAAATATGGCATTCAGCAAATCAGGAAATCATGAAAAGGACACTTGTTTACAGTATAATAGCTGAAACAAGAGGACAGAGCGTTTCCTTGCTCAGCATCAGGTGGGGATGCATACAGTGTGTCTCAAACTTTTTGTCACTGTGTTCATGCACTTGTCCATGAACGACTGCGAAGGTGCTGTGAGTATTGAGCTAGGGGTTAAAAATAGATGTTAGGGAGCAGGTGACTTTGCAAATACTGAATCCACAAATAATGAAGGTCAACTCTATTGCTAGTCATGTCTACTGGTGGAATGTTTGGAACTTTCTTTTCAACCGGACATTGTGTTAATATATTTTTAGAAGGCCAGGGATTATGAATCAAGTGACCATTTTTATTTTTTCATTCATGCATTCATGCATTGCTACTTATTCACTAATCATTTATGACACAGCTAAAATATTCTTGGGATACAAAGATGAATAGGATACACCATCTGCCCTGGATAATATTTACTTCTAATTCGTAGTCTAGTGAAGAAGAAATCTAAATGGTAAGACTATGTAAATCTCTAACAGAAACCACAAAGAGCTATAATTTGTTTTTGTAAAATCCTGCTGGGTTGAATACTATCTCTTTTGTATTAAAATATATTGTTAATCCTCAAGAAGTTTTCAAAGATAAGAGATTGAACAATATTTTGGGTTAGGTCCATGATGTACTGTTATTAAAGTTTCTATGGATTCAGATTGCCTTGGATGCCTAGGCTGGAGTCTAAGGAACAAATAATCAGAAAACATCACTGAGCTCGAGCTTATGAAATATTTTAGTAACATGGGAGACTCATGGAAATGTGTGGTTTCTTTTCCAACTGGAATTACTGATACAAAATAGGATATATATGTGACCAAAGCCAAACAACATAAATGGTTGTCAAACTTGAGCTTGAAGTTAGCCCCCGTGAAGCATCCCATAGTCACTTCTGAGAGTTTGCAAGATGTGTTCAGGAATGTCTCCTCTGGTCCTTCCTCTCTTGTGTCTTTTCTGTGCCTTCAAGCTGCTGCTCTGTGAGAGCTGACTGACTCTTTTTATTTTGTCATCCTTTGCAGTGGTTGACATTGCTTTCTCCACCCTGGCTGTGGGAACAGCAACCACTGTCCCCTGTACCTGCTTTTTCTAAGCAAGGCCACAGGCCCTCTTAGAATTCTCCTAGTACAACATATATCAAGTTGTAGCTTATAGAATAATTTACTGTAGTTCTAACTTAGTGGAAAGTAAATGTAGTGCAGAGAATTATATGCTGTTATACTGATCCACACACACTTGAATTCCACTAGGTAATTTATGTGGCCAAGGGTATATTTCATTTCATTTGGAACTACTTATAATCTTTTCACGTCTTGCAGTTTAGGCCAAATTGACCCCAGGACACAAGGGAAGGTAGAAATGTATTTTTCATGCTAATATATCACCTACTTTTGGAGACTTCATTTATACCCCAGGATTAACCTCTCACCAGGGTGATTAACAATACAAACATCTACTCCCCACAGATCCTTGTCTTTATCCATGGGACTGTGGTCTGAACTGATGACCTTAAAAAGTCCATAAAATGTATTTTGACAAAAAGTTTGCTAAAATATCTGTAAGAATTAAGATTAGTCAGACTTTCCCATCTTAAACTTGAATTATCTCTGAAGTTGTGTTTCTCTATCAAACCAAATTTAACAGTATACTAAAAGGATCTTTCACCATGATCAAGTGAGATTTAGCTCTGAGATGCAAGGATGGTTCAACACACAAATCAATAAATGTGATACATAACATTAACAGAATTAAAGATAAAACCATATGATCATATAAACAGAACATGAAACGGTGAAAGAAAAGTCTTTTTAATAAATGATGTTGGAAAACTGAATATCCACATGCAGAAGAATGAAATTGGATCCTTATGACACTCAATATATGAGAATTAACTCAAAATGGATTAATGACTTAAACATATGACTGCAAACTGTAAAACTATTAGAAGAAAATATAGGAGAAAAGTTCCATGACGTTGGTATGGGCAAGATTTCTTGTATATGATCCTCAAATCACAGACAGCAAAACCAAAAGTAAACAAATGGGATTGCATCAAATTAAAACATTTCTCCGCAGCAAAGGAAACAATAGAGTGAAAAGACAACCCACAGGTTGAGAGAAAATATTTGTAAATGATACATGTAAGTGGCTAAAATTCAAGCTATATAAGGAACTTAAACAAATCAATAACAAGGAAACAAATAACTCAATTTTAAAATGAGCTAAGCACCTGAATAGACATTTCTCAAAAGAAGACGTACAAATGACAAACAGGTACAAGAAAAAATGCTCAACATCACTAGTCATCAGGGAAATACAAATTAAATTCACAATAAGATATCACCTCACACTTGTTAGAATGCCTACTACAGAAAAGATAAGAGATAAATGTTGATGAAAATGTGGAAAAGGAGAACTCATACACTTTTGGTGGAAGCGTAAATTAGTACAGTCATTAAATACACTGTGGAGGTTTCTGAAAAATTCTGAAAAAATTAAAAATAGAACCGTTGTATGACCCAGCAATCCCTTGTCTGTGTATATATTCAAAGGAAATAAGAAGAGAGATCTACACTTTCATATTCATTGTAGTATTATTCACAATAGCCAAGATGTGGAATAAACCTAAGCATCCCTCAGCAGATGAATGGATAGAGAAAATGTGGTATATATGCATAGTGGAATACTATTCAGCCTTAAAGAAGAAGGAAATTCTGTTGTTTGCAACAACATGGATGAATCTGGAGGACCTTATATTAACTGAAATAAGTCAGGCACAGAAGGACAAATACCTCATGGTCTCCCTTCTACATGAAATCTACAAAGTCAAACTCACAGAAACAGAGAATAGAATGGTGGTTACCAGGGGCTGGAAGAAAGGGAGAAAATTGAGAAGATATTGGTCAAAGGTTACAAAAATTACAGTTAGACAAGAGAGATAATTCAAGAGATCTATTATATGAAAGGGTGACTATAATTAATGAATTGTATATGTGAAAATTGCTAAAAGAGTAGATCTGAGTGTTCTCATCACAAAAACATGATAAGTATGTGAGGTAATGGTTCATGTAAATTAGCTTGATTTTGTCATTCCATGATGTATACATATGTCAAAACATCATGTTATACATCATAAATATATACAATTTTAATTTGTCAATTAAAAATCATAATAATGTAGGCTAACTAAAAAATGCTACATTTTTCCAAAAGTTTTCTTTTCAAGACACATATACTTACCTTTTAGCATATGCTGCTGTTTGATGAAAAAAATAAACGATTAAGAGAACCCCTCCTGCTGCCAAGAAAAAATAGGGTGGCATTTACTGTGAACTACAGATAGTAGACAACGTAGTTCAGAGAAAAAGTGTTCTCGGTTGGTCAGGGAGAAAGTGGAGCTGAAGTTAGGGTCTGAGTTTGATAAATGACACAGAAGTGCCTTCAACACACTCCTAGGGATGAGAAATAAATATATCAGCCTGATTTCTGTGGAAGCTTCAAAAAAGGGAGTAGTGGCAGACAAAGTTGTTGGGCAGTAATTTGGTCAGGAAGGATATTGAAACGCTACATAACCATTTCAACGTCATTTTGTAACATCACGCCACCTTCCTTCTCCTTAAATCAGGCTCAGCATTGGCAAGATTTTGATGATCTATATAAAACACCCCTACTAAGGGTGGTACCTATTGAAACAATTGCCTGGGATGGTAAGAGGGCGATTTGGAGGCTGTAGATTGGAGAATGAAAGTTGAGGGCAGGCTCCTGGGAGGACCACTGTTGGTAATGGGGAATTTAGGGATGTTGCAGAGAAATCAGAATTTTCTGGTGAGTTATGGAGACTAGGAATTGGGGCTTTAGATGTTTGGTGAAATGGAGAGCATTTGTCCCCAAGGGGATGGAAAGGTGGGCTCCATTTGGCTCTTTTGGTTTCTGCTCCGTTTATGGTCAAGCCAACAGTTCAGGAAACCGCCTTTGAAAAAATACAATTTCCTTAGGGGCCTGCTATGTCTTGCTCATTTCAGGCTGCTCTCCAGTAAATCTGTAATTGGTTCTCAGGGGCCTCTCCCTTTGTGGCAATTTCCTGCCCTCCCATGTGATAGAGGGAAAGGACTGCGATGAAAGGACAGAATAGCCTGAGAGCTAGAAAAGGGGATGGAGGGTGGAAGAGAAAATGGCTCAGGAGTGGAGGGTAACAAGGGTGACATTTGTAATCAATGTTCTACGTTACTTCAGGTTGAGCTCAAGCAGGGAGGGAGCTGAAGGTAGGAAATTCCAACATTCTGAAGTCTTCAGCAAATCTTAGCAGATCATCTCCTCCTCACAGTCCTGTCTTTAGAGAACAGGGTCGATATTTCGGGTACGTTTATTTTTGTAAAATTCTTTACAGCTTAGTTCACAGATTCTTTAAAAAAGTTAAATGGCTGGTTTTTATAGCTGTTTATCCTGTAATCACTAGCAACTTTCAATTAACCCAGAGAGTCAAAAAGTCTTTTATTAAAAATCATTTCAAGAAGTCCCGCAGTATTTCTCTAGAATACCAGTGCTGCTCTTTTCTCCATTGGATGTTTTTAAAAGTTGATTTCTAATCCTTCTGGGTGCATACTGACTTATTTTTTTAATTCTCTCTTCTCTTTTGGAGATGGGGAACAGTAGATATTCATGCTCCCCAAGCTTCAGTTGATATGTTACAGAGTAGGAAGAAGCGAGACACCCTCATACTAATGTTTTCATGGTGGAAAGTTTTCCTCCTGCTATCCCATGGCTTGACAAAACTGGGATATACTTAAAATTATACTGTTTTCTTTTAAAACCTTTTAAGTATATTTTAATGTTTTATTATGGAGTAATTACTGAAGAGACTTGAGGAGAATTAACAGATTAAAAAAATCAAACTGAATTAACTTTTTGGTTTTCTGCTTACAAACATAACATGTTTGTTTAGCAGACATTTCAAAATATGAGAATAAATTTTTTTCTAATACCTAAAGATGAATTAAAATGTACAGTTTTGTATATATTTTTTAAAATATTTTTTCCTGGAATATTCTTTGAATTGCTCATTTTAATTAAGGACTCTATGCTATCTCAGAGTCTGGGTTGAATGAGGGTTATGGTTTTTACTTAGAATTGAGTGTGTGGCTGATTGTTCGTTAGACAACAAACAGGCATTTTGCACTATTCTTACTTCTCTACCAGTCAGTATGGTGAAATTCCTGTTGATTTCAAACTCTTCCTGCAGTTTTTTGAGTTTTCCAATTCCAAATTCAGCTCTATTCCTTGGAGTTTTCAACTCTAAATTCATCAACTTCCTCTATTCCCTGATTCCCCTCTGTCTTTAAGGGAATAACAGCCTCTCATATATCCTACTGTTTCTGTGTTTTTCCCATTTCTTTTCTTTTCATATCTACTTTTACAGATTTAGGGGTACAAGTGCAGTTTTGTTACATGAATATATTGTGTAGCGATTGAGTCTGGGCTTTTAGTGTAACCATCACACAGATAGTGTGCATTATACCCATTAGGTAATTTCTCATCCCTCACCCCTTCCCACCTCACCTTTCCAAGTCTCCAATGTCTATTATTCTGAATTCTGTGTTCATGTGCACACATTATTTAGCTCCCACTTATAAATGAGAATATGCAATATTTGACTTTCTGTTTCTGAGATATTTCACTTAAAATAATAGCCTCCAGCTCCAATGATACTCTTGATTTCCAGGGGAGGTAGTGGTCATGAGCTATTTATTATTAGAGGTATTCTTGCCTGATTTACATGCTCACCTCTCTCCTGGCAGGAATCCTATAGAAAGACTCCAAGCCTCAGAATGAGTTTGGACCAGATAAAATAATCTAGAGTTAAAGATGGCCCACATAGGGAGTGCCAGATTCACTCACAAGGAAATGCAGATGGGATCAAAGGGTAAGAGAATAGCTTTAGAGACGGGAGTTGGAGGGCAATAACAGAACCTGTGGAATTTTGTAGTCTATGAAGAACAGCATTCTTCTCTGATCAATTCATATGGGTTTAGGTTAAGGAAGACATGGTGTTAAACATTAAGTATTCATTGAGAATATATCTTTTTGTAAGACTTCGGTACAGTAGCACTTATAAAAATTTAAATCCTGTGCTAAATGAACTTTTAGTCTTTTGGAAAAGAGAAAGTGCATACCATAAGATAATTAATGATGAACTCAAGGCAGCATGTATTTGCACATCAGGTATCAGATGAGTGGGGCCATCCCTTCTTTCACTCTTGTTACCTTGGATGTAGCTTCCATAATACTATTTAAATTTAGGTTGAAACATGCCACTGTACTGTTTAAAAGCCTTCAGCTGTGCCTTGCTGCCTATAGAATGAAGCTCTAGTTCCTTCTTGTGACAAGCAAGGGTCCCCAGACTCTGATCCTGGCCCCTTTCTCTCCCTGTCTTCCCCCATTCTTCACCTCAATCCTAATTCTCCTTCAGAATCGAGGGGATTGTTTGAGCTACCCTTGGCTACTTACCCCCTGCTACCTCTTTCTCCTCCTCACATCCAATGTTGTTTCTTGCCTCAGTGTGTACTCATGGTTTTCCTTTTACCTAAAATGCCCTCACCTCCATTCTTTCCATTTTCCACTGCAATCACTCATCAGTTCAGCATCACTTCCTCCTAGTACTATTTCTTTCAGGTTGAATTCATTAACTGTCTTTTGGCGTATTGCAATTTTCTGTTGATATGTCCATCTGTCACACAAGAGTGTAAACTCCTTAAGAGTATGGACCAGTTTTGTTTGGCCCACTATCCTCAGAAACAGATGTAATATCTTCTATACACTAGATCCTTAGTACATGATTGGGAGAGAAATAAAGGGCTCTATTAGTCAAGGGGGATTCTTGGTAGAGATAAGTTCTTAAGCTGGGTCTTCGAGGATTTAACGTTAGCAATGAGCAGAGGTATGGAAAATGGGATTCCATTCAAAAGGCAGATTTGGTCTTAGGCAAAACTACAAAACAGTGTGCCGTGAAGGCTCCCAGCACTGTGGTCCCTGAGGCATCCAGTTTTTCACCTCTTAGGAAACTGATGTTCTAGACTATTTGTATTAAAGATAACTTACATTTTTTGTGATAATAAATATAATGTATATTTATTAATCCCATATTCTAGAAAGTAACACTGTTAGTATTATGTATTTATATTTATTTATATGATATCTGCTTTTTTTCTCTACCTTTCTCAACTGTTTCTAATCATTCCCTGTATTCTCTCTCATTGTCTTCAGTTAATAAACACATATTGCTTTGAATAGCATATGAAAACCTTCCAGCAGGTATGACAGAGCCATTTTCAGATATTTAGAAGTGTCATGCTCAATTACAACTCTTTGCTTTTGCATATGCTTTCCTGCCAGGGATGCCCTGCCTGGTCTGGTTTCCTGTCTTTTGCCTGGCCAACTCTTTTTTTTTTTTTTTTTTTTTTTTTTTTTGAGATGGAGTTTCGTTCTATTGCCCAGGCTGGGGTGCAGTGGCGCGATATCGGCTTACTGCAAGCTCCGCCTCCTGAGTTCACGCCATTCTTCTGCCTCGGCATCCCGAGTAGCTGGGACTACAGGCGCCCGCCACCACGCCCGGCTAATTTTTTTTGTATTTTTAGTAGAGACGGAGTTTCACTGTGTTAGTCAGGATGGTCTCGATCTCCTGACCTCGTGATCCACCCGCCTCAGCCTCCCAAAGTGCTGGGATTACAGGCGTGAGCCACCAAGCCCGGCCTCCTGGCCAACTCTTAATTGGCCCTCAAAACTTAGCCTACTTGCTTCTATCTTCAGAAAGCCTTCCCCGACCTTGATCCCACACCTTCTGCCCCACAACCCCAGGCTGGGTTTGGTCCTTCTCTGCTCCCATGGCACCTACTTCCTTCCCTATTACCATTTACCACATTTTCACTACCAACTCCTGAATGACTTGATGAAACTACTATTTAAGGAAGGCAATAAGTGAAGAATATATAAGAATTATCCGAGGAACAGTTGGTAAGGTATCACTGATTAGGAGATGGGGAATGAAAGGGGCGGTTGAGATAATGAGAAGAATGAGATAGTGACCATGGGGATTAGACAGAATTCTCAAACCACTCATAGAGGAATTGGTTGTGATTGAGAAAGATAGAAGAGTTTGCAGTTGTGGGCCATGTCTATATAGCACACATTTGGAGAATATTATACTGGTGCACAAGAAGGAGGCTATGGCTGACTATACAGATAAGAATGATAGAGGTGATTATGCGAAAGAGGTAGTAGATTGAATTAATGGGGTAAAGGTCTTTGAAAGACTAAAATTATGAGTTTGGATAAACTCTTCTGAGCGTTAAAGAATATGCACAATTAAGGAAGGCAGGGAAGGATGAGAGTTGAGGAAGGAATGACAACTAAGAAGGGGGATAGTTGAAGACTTGCGTGAGCGAGTCTTGTTTTAGAGACTCATTTTTGTCTTTTTTGTTTTGTTTTGTTTTAGCTCTAATAACGTTAGGCTTGGTATAGAAGATGCAGAGACATGCTAAAATTTCTCCCCCAATTATTGCCAAGCAGAAACTTGGACGATCGACATGGAAATTGTCTCCACAGGAAACGAAACTATTACTGAATTTGTCCTCCTTGGCTTCTATGACATCCCTGAACTGCATTTCTTGTTTTTTATTGTATTCACTGCTGTCTATGTCTTCATCATCATAGGGAATATGCTGATTATTGTAGCAGTGGTTAGCTCCCAGAGGCTCCACAAACCCATGTATATTTTCTTGGCGAATCTGTCCTTCCTGGATATTCTCTACACCTCCGCAGTGATGCCAAAAATGCTGGAGGGCTTCCTGCAAGAAGCAACTATCTCTGTGGCTGGTTGCTTGCTCCAGTTCTTTATCTTCGGCTCTCTAGCCACAGCTGAATGCTTACTGCTGGCTGTCATGGCATATGACCGCTACCTGGCAATTTGCTACCCACTCCACTACCCACTCCTGATGGGGCCCAGACGGTACATGGGGCTGGTGGTCACAACCTGGCTCTCTGGATTTGTGGTAGATGGACTGGTTGTGGCCCTGGTGGCCCAGCTGAGGTTCTGTGGCCCCAACCACATTGACCAGTTTTACTGTGACTTTATGCTTTTCGTGGGCCTGGCTTGCTCGGATCCCAGAGTGGCTCAGGTGACAACTCTCATTCTGTCTGTGTTCTGCCTCACTATTCCTTTTGGACTGATTCTGACATCTTATGCCAGAATTGTGGTGGCAGTGCTGAGAGTTCCTGCTGGGGCAAGCAGGAGAAGGGCTTTCTCCACATGCTCCTCCCACCTAGCTGTAGTGACCACATTCTATGGAACGCTCATGATCTTTTATGTTGCACCCTCTGCTGTCCATTCCCAGCTCCTCTCCAAGGTCTTCTCCCTGCTCTACACTGTGGTCACCCCTCTCTTCAATCCTGTGATCTATACCATGAGGAACAAGGAGGTGCATCAGGCACTTCGGAAGATTCTCTGTATCAAACAAACTGAAACACTTGATTGAAGGAGAGTAATGAAGATGTTATTTTGGACTTCGGACACCTCCACTGGGGACTCTTCCAGGATGGGTTGGAGAGGAGTAACTTTGTCTTATTCGACCATTCTCTTTGAACTCTTCTGCAGTTATACTAAAAATGAAAATGATAGGGCAACAATTTTTTAACTTTTATTTTAAGTTCAAGGGTACATGTGCAGGTTTGTTACATAGGTAAACTTGTGTCATGGGGGTTTACTGTACAGATTATTTCATCACCCAGGTATTAAGCCTAGTACTCATTAATCATTTTTCCTGATCTTCTCCCTCCTCCCAACCTCCACCCTCAAGTAGGATTCAGTGTGTTGTTCCCCTCTATGTATCCATATGTTTTCATAATTTAGCTCCCACTTATGAGTGAAGACATACGGTATTTGATTTTCTGTTCCTGTGTTAGTTTGCGAAGGATAGTAGCCTCCAATTCCATCCATGTCAAATAATCAAAATTATTTAAACTTTGATTAGTTCTTTATTAAATATGTCATAAATATTTAAAAATAATACAGCAATACCAAAATAAACCTAGAAATATTGTTTTTTATATTATTGTTGTATGACATTTAAAAATTTCTTTCTATGTGTATTTATATTTATACATACAAGTTGGATCATGGAGTTTGTAATCTGGTTTTCCACTGAACACTGTGTCACGAACAACTTTTTCTATTAACAAGCATCTATTTCTTTATTCTTCTGGGCTTCATCGTATGGCTAAACATGATTTGTTATTCTATTTTGGGAATTTTTAGTTGTATTCTATTCTTTTACTGTACATTGTTTACATCTGGATTTTCCTGTAATAAACTTTTAGCACCTAAATTGCAAGATCTAAGGATATGTGTTTTTAAAAATCTAAAGCTGAATTCCTTTTCTTTTAAACTTCTTTTCTTGTAGAACATTTCAAACATACATAAAAGAGAAGAGCACAGTGAACCCCCATGTACTCCATGTAGCCACCATCCAGCTTCAACATCAACATTTTGCTAATCTTATTTTAATTAGCTACAGCTCCTTGTTTGTTAGTTTTCATGGAAAATTTTAGGGCAAATTCCAGATGTTGTATAACTATTATGTTGTGTAAGTTATGTATGTACATATTCCACATATGTATTTAGTATAATCTGTGACTAATAAAGACATTTTAAAAAACCATGCCCACAATACCATTATGATACTTAGCACAATTATCAGTATTTCCTTTATATCATCTAATACACAAGCCATGTTCAAATTTCTCCATTGATCTTTAAGTAATTTCTTAAAATTAGGATCTAAACAAGGTTCACACAATGTATTTTGTTATTGTCTTTCCAGTCCCTTTATAACATAGCAGACCCCACTTTTTTGTCATGCCATTGACTTAAGTTGCTATGTTATTTTTATTGCATCATATCCTGAGACACATGATATTTAGTTGTCCCACTCTTAGAGATGCTATTTATATTATTGTCCAGTGAGTTGAGGTGGTATCAGTCAGATCTATCAATTACTCAGTTTCTAATTAACGTTTTCCCTAATACTTTAATCATCCATTGTGGAAAGGTGATGATTAACTTTTATTCCAAATGTTTTTATGTTCCTTTTTCAATTCCAAAATTCACCATTTTAATAAATGGCTCTCTAGTACATTATATATCAGTCAGCCAGGAATCACACTTAGCTATTAGAAACTGTCAATACAAAGTTTTAAAAGTAAAAATTGTCATGTAAGTAAAAGTTAATTTTTCTCTCAAGTAAAAGAAGTCTGGAGGTAAGTAGTACAGAGAGGATGTGGTTGGTTCCCAGGGTTATATAGACCAGAGCTCTGTTTACTTAGTGTATATGTCAGGAGAACAGCGTGGGGGAAAGTTCCCCCATGATGAAATCACTTCCCTCCAGGTCCCTCCCTTGACATGGGAGATTACAATTGAGATGAGATTTGTGTGGGGACATAAAACGAAACCATATCAGGCTCTATTCTGTGTGTCTGTGTGCATATGTAACTAAAATCAGGAGTGAGTAATTGAGAGAAGTGAATTTTCTTGGTGTGGTTTCAGTTGCAAACAACATAAGCTACCCTGGCTAATTTAAGCTGCTGTTTTTTCTTATATAATATTTGATAGCTCACACACTATCCTGTAGGTAAAGAGAGTCAGACTCTGAATTATTCTGCCAGGAATGAGATGCAGAAACACAGAGGGTCTCTTGTTGGCGTAAATATCACTGCCATCATTACTCAACCCTAGAGTACTTCTAGATCCATCACTGATGCTCCAGAAGGACCAGATTCCTCTGTTTCATGCAGAGAAGACTGAATTCCACATGCATAGTCTTGCTGATTGGTAGGACCTAATTTCCATGGTTGTTACCAGCTGTTAAGGAATCTAGGAAATGATCACAATGTAGTGGGGGTGTTCACAGATGTAAAAGCACTATAATGAATGTCTACTCTTGGCACAGTGCGAAAGGATAATGTTAGGTACTAATTTTTTTTTCTTTTGACATTTTAAAATACAAACATTTCAAGCATATACTAAATACAAAAATTTCCTTTGTCCACTTTTTAATGGGGTTATTTATTTGTTTTTCTTGTTGAGTTGTTTAAGTTCCTTGTAAGTTCTGGATACCAGTCCCGTATTAGGTGCATAATTTGCAAATATGTTTTCCCATTCTGTAGGTTGTTTGTTTACTCTGTTGATTATTCCCTTCACTGTGCAGAAGCCTTTTAGTTTAATTAAGTTCTGTTTGTCTATTTTTATTTTTGTTGCATTTGCTTTTGAGGTCTTAGTCACAAATTCTTTGCCTAGGCCAATGTTCAGAAGAGTTTTTCCTAGGTTTTCTTCTAAAATTTTTATAGTTTCAGGTCTTACATTTAAAAGAAGACATACAATCAGCCTACAAAACCTACAAACATATAAAAAAAGCTCAACATTGCTAGTCATCAGAGAAGTGCAAATTAAAACCACACTGAGATATCATCTCATACCAGTAATAGTAACTATTATTAAAAAGTCAAAAACAAGAGATGTTGGTGAGAATGCAGAGAAAAGGGAATGCTTATATACTGTTGATGAGAATATAAATTAGTACAACCTCTATGGAAAACAGTATGAAGATTTCTTAAAGGGCTAAAATTAGAACTACCCTTTGATTCAGCAATCCCAATACTAGATATCTACCCAAAGGAAAATAAATCATGGTACAAACAAGACACCTGCATGTGTATGTTAATTGCAGCACTTTTCACAAGAGCAAAGTTATGAAACCATCCTAAGCATATGAAAGCATACACACACACACACACACTTACATAAGCATACGTAATTAGATATTTTTTCTTTTATTTTACTTTCACTTATTTCTTCTTCAATGCTCTTCTGTTCTTAAAGGTGGATTGAAATGTCTCACTTGTATAATTTTATTACTCTCTAAAAAATTTATTTTATCACTTTTTACCAGGCAAGTCTATTGGCAATAAATTCCCTCAATTTTTGTTCCTCTGAGAAGGTTTATTTCTCATTCACTTTTGAAGGATAATTTCATGTAGTGCAGAATTCTAGATTGGTTTTTCTTCTATCAAAAATTTTAAATATTTCACTCTATTTTCTTCTAACTTTTGTAGCTTCTGCGAACTCAGATGTCATCTTTTCTTCCCTAAAGGTATGGTATTTTTTATCCTCTGGCTTCTTCATGATTTAAAAAAAATCTTTGACTTTCTGATTTTTGTTTAATTTTCCATAGTTTAAAAATGATATTCCTAGCCATAGTTTTTCTGGCATTTATGCTTCTTGGTATTCCTTGAGCCTCCTAGATTTGAAGTTTGATGTCTCATATTAATTTGGGGAAATTTTCAGTTATTGCTTCAAATATTTCTTCTGTTCCTATCTACTTTTCTACTCCTTCTGATATTCCCATTGTATGTATTACATATTTTGGAGTTTTTCCAGAATCCTTGAATATTCTTCTCTGCTTTAATAAGTCTTTGTTTTCTTCGCTTTTCAGTTTTTAAAGTTCCTATTGATATATTCCCCTGCCTAGAGGGTTTGGTGGTCGTTTTCTTCCTCTTAACTTTATTAAGGTATGACTGACACATGAAGTTGTATATATTTATGATGTTTACTGTGATGTTTTGAGATATGTATACATTGTGAAACGATTACCACAATTAAGCCAATTAACACATCCATCACCTCACATAGTTACAACCTTTTGTATGTGTGTGGTGAGAACATTTATGATCTTCTAGTTTAGAAAATTTCAAGTATATAATACAGTATTGTTAACTATAATCACCACGCTATATGCACATTATATAGGTCACATTTTTAAATCCACTTCTCTGTTTTGATGGACCTTTGGGCTAATTCTGTATCTTGGCTATTGAGAATCATGCTGCAATGAACACAAGAGTGCAGATATGTCTTTGAAATACTAATTTTTTTTTTATTTTTCCATAGGTTATTGGGGTACAAGTAGTATTTGGTTACATGAGTAAGTTCTTTAGTGGTGATTTGTGAGATTTTGGTGCACTCATCACCCAAGCAGTATACACTGCACCGTATTTGTAGTCTTTTATCCTTCACCCCCCCTCCCACTCTACACCCCAAGTCCCCTAAGTCCACTGTATCATTCTTATGTATTTGCATCCTTATAGCTTAGCTCCCACATATCAGTGAGAACATACAATGTTTGGTTTTGAAATACTGATTTTATTTCCTTTAGACATATACCCAGAAGTGGGATTACTGAATCATATGGTATTTCTACCTTTATGTTTTTTGAGGAATCTCTATATGTTCCCCATAATGGCTGTACAAATGTAAATTCCCAAAAACAATGTACAAAGGTTCTCTTTTTATATCCTCATTAATACTTGTTATTTTTTGTCTTTTTGATAAAAGCCATTCTAACAGATGTGAAGTGATATCTCGTGGTTGTAGTTTGTATTTCCTTTGATTTAATGATGTTGAACATTAAAAAATACACTTGGCCATTTGTGTGGAAATATCTATTTCATTGAAAAAATGTCTATTTAGATTCTTTCCTCATTTTTAAACTAGGCTATTTGTTTTCTTGCTATTGAGTTTTTAAAAAATGTATATTTTGGATATTAACTCTTTATGAAATATTGTTTTCCCATTTCATAGGTTATCTCTTCATTCTGTTGATGTTTTCTTTTGTTAAATAGGAACTATTTAGTTTGGTAGAATCGTATTTATTTTTGATTTTGTTTCCTGTGCTTTACGTATGATATTTTAAAAATATCATTTCCCAGACCACCATTGAGAAGTTTTTCCCTGTTTTCTTCCAGTAGTTTTAGTTTCAGGTCTTGCCTTTCAGTTTTTAATCCAATTAAATTGATTTTTGCGTATTGTTTGAGACAATGGTTTAATTTCATTCTTCTTTAGGTGGAATATTAAGTTTTTCCAACACAATTTATTGGAGAAACTATTCTTTTCCCATTGTATGTTCTTGGCACCTTTGCCAAAGACCAACTGACCATAAGTACATAGATTTATTTCTGGGCTCTCTATTCTGTTCCATTGTTCTATGTATCTGTTTTTATGCCAGTATCATACTGTTTTGATTACTATAGCTTTGTGGTATATTTTGAGTTCAGGTAGTTGTGCCTCCAGCTTTGTTCTTTTTGCTCAAGATAGCCTTGGCTATTTGGAGTCTTTTGTGGTTCCATAAGAATTTTAGTACTTTTGCTATTTCTGTAAAAAATTCCATTAGAATATTGATAGGGATTGTAAAGAATCTACAGTTTGCTTAGGAAAGTATGAGCATTTTGACAATATGAATTCTTCCAATCCATGAATAAAGAATATCTTTCCATTTATTTGTATCTTTTTCAATTTCTGTCATCCATGCCTTATAGTTTTCAAGGTACAGATCTTTCACCTTCTTGGTTAGATTTATCCCTAAGTATTTTATTTACCTTTGATATTATTGTAAATAGAATTGTTTTCTTGATTTCCTATTCAAATAGATCATTGTTGTAAAAATGCAACTGGCTTTTGTAAGTTAATTTTGTATCCTGTGAACTTAACTAAATTTATTAGTTCTCACAGTTTTTGGTGTAGTCATTAGGGTTTTCTAGATGTAAGATCCAGTCATCTGCAAACAGAAAATTTTACTTCTTCCTTTTTAGTCTGGATGCCTTTTATTTATTTCTTTTGTGTAATTGCTATAGCTAGGAATGTCAGAATTATATTGAAGAGAAATTGTGAAAGTGGGCCTCCTTGACTTGCTCCTGATATCGGAAGAAAAGCTTTTAGCTTTCCAACACTGATAATGAGAATAGCAGTGGACTTGATATACATTATCTTTATTACATTAAGCTATGTTTCTTCTATACCTAATTTGTTGAAAGTTTCTTTTAGTTATGAAAGAATATTGAATTTTATCAAATGCTTCTTCTGCACCTATTATCATATGGTTTTTATCCCTCAGTATGTTAATGTGGCATATCATATTTATTAATTTGTGTATGTTAACCCATTCTTGCATCCTAAGGATGAATCCCACTTAGTCATGGTGTATGATCATTTTAATGTGCTGTTGAATTCATTTTGCTAGTTTTCATTGAGGATTTTTGCATCTATGTTCATCAGGGATATTGGCCTGTAACTGCATTTCCTTATAGTTGCGTTGTCTGGCTTTGGTATTAGGGTAATGCTGACCTCATAAAGTGAGTTTGAAAGTATTTCTTCCTTTTCATATTTTTGAGTGAGTTTAAGAAGATTGGCATTAATTATCCTATAAATGTTTGGTAGTATACATCAATAAAGCCATCAGATCCTGGGCTTTTTTGAATAGGAGACATTTTATTACTGGTCAATCTCAGCCCCAGGCTGGCAGCTTTTGCCGTGGTCTACTGGAACATGAAAAAGTCTGTCTGAGGCTTCCCTGTTGAAGAAGCATATGATAGTCACAAGGAGCAATTAAGGGAGGAGAAAAAGAAATAGAGAGAGAGACTTACTCAGCTCTCAGCTATTCCGTGACCAGACTGAAGTCATTCCAGCAAAGGTCAGAGACATTATGGATCAGAGTCAACCATTCTCTGCTGTGTTTTTCCAAATTTCTTACCCAACAAAGCATGTAACTTAAGTGTTTTAAGCGATTGAATTTTGGGGTCCTAATGTGTTATGCACTAATAGTTAACCAGAACCCCATGTGCTCTTCTACAGTTCACAAACTCTCTGAAGTTTGAATTATGTGGCAGATTCTCACCACCAGAAATGACAGAAAAAACATATTGTATAAAAATATGCATCAAATATATTACTGATAGTGTGGGACAGTTGAGATTAGGAGTTGCCATCTCCACACACACATTGTTGTTTTGTTTTATTATAAACTAAACTGGAATTGAGGGACCAAAGAAGGTGAAGTTAGAAGACAAAAGAAGCATGGAGAGAAGTCAGAATAAAATTGTTTAGATTTACAAAAGTGCATGCAGGGACCTTGAAGGGTCAGTCCACCAGCTTAAAATGCCTTTTCATAGTATTTTCTGTCTATTCTTTAAATATTTATAAATTATAGAATCCACCATTTTTTCAGGGACAGAAGCCATTTATAGGAACTTAAAAAGTGAGGAACATAGCAGTTCATGTCTAGAAATACTTCAATAATTATGACTTCTATGCCTTTGCTTAGTATGAGTTTGGTGCCAAGTAAGAAAAAGAAAATAAAATTTTGATAAAGTCGTCATCTTCCGCAATTAAAGGCTGAGGGAACAATAACATCCTAACGAGATTGAAAGAGTCTTAAGAGCTTTGTTAAATTATCTCCGATTTTTAATATTTTAAGTAATCATTGAGGGTGTGGACAGTTGACTAATAAGAGATATCTGGAGACAGAGGTGCCAAAACTATTTAGATGAACTGTCAGGGTTTTTGTTGTTGTTGTTATTTAGTGATTACAATGTCATTTGCTTTAATTACTTGTCTCCTTGTTTGAAGAATAAGAAATCAAGACCCACCCCTTAAAAATTCTCCTTAACTCATACGTCAGTTAGCATATTCTTTTCCAGTTGAGTAACTATGGCCCTAAAGTAAAATCCTCAAAATATCAAAGCATAATAATTTTATTTATAATATTATAATGCATTAACCTAGAGGGACCAGATAGATAAATAGACCCAAGTATTATCCATATATTTGATATATGGGAAAAACAGGCATATTTCTATACCCAATTTCATCATAAGAACATATAAAAAACCTAACATCAATTTTATCAACTGATATCTTCAAAACATAGTCAGCAGTAGAGTTCCATGGCTAGTATCCCATTCATTCAAATGTCCCTTATATAATCCAGGAAAGCATTGTTAAATACAACTACAGCATATTTTTCCATATATTTTTGTTTTATCCAGTTCCCTCTGTTGTACATTTCTAAATAATTTAAGAAACAATGTAATTACAAACTCATCTTTTTAATTGTTTATTTATGCTTCAGAAGAGTTCTTCAAGATTTCTTTAGGCCAAAGCCACCTTTTCATTGCTCTATTAAAGGCCCCTTTCACTTCCTTGTTCCTCAAAGTGTAGATCAGTGGGTTTAGTACTGGAGTGACCACAGTATACATGATGGCAGTGATCCGGTCCTGGTCCATGGAGGTCCCTGAGGCATGATGAATATAGGTGAAGAGAACAGGTGCATACAAAAGAATAACTACCATCAAGTGGGAGGCACAAGTGGACAGTGCTTTGCGGAGCATGCTAAAAGAATGAGTCTTGAAGAAGAGATGGGTGATAATGTAGAAATAGGAGAGTAATGTGAGAAAGAAGGGGCCCATGGCGATTGTCCCTGTGACAGTACTGAGCAGCCACTGATTAAGCTCAGCTTTAGCAATGGCTTCACATCACAGAAGAAGTGATAGATACGGTTAGAACCACAGAAGTTCAAGCGAGAGGTCATTAGGGAGTGCAGCAGGGCATGGAAAAAACCAATCATCCAGATTGTGATGGCCATCTGGGTACAGAGCTGAGGGTTCATAATGACAGTGTAGCGAAGTGGCTTGCAAATAGCCACAAAGCGGTCAAATGCCATCACGGCCAACAACATGGCCTCTGTGCTGCCCAGGAAGTGGAAGAAATGGAGTTGGCTTATGCATCCCAAGAAAGAAATTGCTTTGTGTGCAGAGAGGAAGTTCTGCAGCATTTTTGGCAGTGTTACGCTGGAGTAGCAGATGTCCAGGCAGGACAGGTTTCCCAAGAAGAAATACATAGGGGAATGGAGTCTAGGATCAGAGATGACAATCATCAGAATGGCTCCATTCCCAGCCACACTGATGAAGTAGATGGTAAGGAAAACAACGAAGAGAAAAGGCTGCAGTTCTTGAATGTCTGTCACTCCCAAAAGGAGAAATTCAGTGACTGAGGTTGTATTCAGCATTGCTTCAGACAAAAGACAAAATAATGTATGGAACACTAATCACAATCAGAATCCTTCCAGCTCAGAATTTTCTTACCAAGCCAAGAATATCTGGAGGGAGAGTATTGTTGTTTTGCATGATTCAACCTCACAAGTTTTACATTTTTGGCTTTTAGATGGCTAAATATTAAAGATATATATATATATATCTGTTATGATCTCTGACACAACTATTTTTTTATTATGTTTTTCATTAATATATTTCTTTCTCCCAGGAATCAGAAAACGTTGCTAGCCTACAGTCTTCTCTGGCTGTGAATATTTTCATTCTTTTTTTTTGAGATTCTCACTCTTTCTCCCAGGCTGAAGTGCAGTGGTGTGATCTTGGCTCACTGCAACCTCCGCCTCCTGGGTTCAAGAGAGTCTCTCGCCTCAGCTTCCCAAGTAACTGGGATTACAGGAGTCCACCACCACACCTGGCTAATTTTTGTATTTTTAATAGAGATGGGGTTTCACCGTGTATGCCAGGCTGGTCTTGAATTCCTGACCTCAAGTTATCTGCCTGCCTCGGCCTCCCAAAGTGCTGCGATTACAGGCATTAGCCACATCTCTGGGCCTGTGAATATCTTCATTCGGTCACAGCTTTCCTTTCATCTTCCCAAGCAGCTCTCACAGGGGGCAATTTTTAAGCATACCACATAGCTATCTCTTGGCCTAGTAAGAAACCACCAGTAGGATGTTAACTTAAATAAAAAGACAGGTTTCAATGCATCAAAACCACGATTTTTTTTTTAAATCTTGAAAGAGTAGTAGTAATTGCATTTCCTCATTTTAGAATGTAAATGAATTAGAGATATTCTCTTACTGATCTCTTCCTGACCCACATCCCTGAAATGTCGCAGTGACCTACTGGGGTAAGAAACATGACCACATTAATCACATATTAACCTGAATATTTAAAATTTCATCACTATTATATCTGATGATGAGCTCAGTTTCTTCCTATAATCTGACCCTTTATACATTTTTTGAAATAGAATCCCAAATTATTTTTTTCATTGCAAATGTTATTGTGCTTTTATTCACCAGTTGATCTTAGACTCTTTCTTTCCTAGGAAATCTGTGAATCCCTGGATAAGAATAGTATTTCCTCTGATAGATTCAGTAGTTTCTCTTCTTTTTTCACCAATACTAACCTCTCCTCAAAATATATATTCAGCCTTCTTGAAATTGTCTTCTCTTGTGATCTATTTTCTTAAGTTCTGTTTTTATTTTGCCTGAAATAAACTCACTCATCAGATATTAAGGAATATTCTACCTCAAGTGAAATTCACCTTCTTCTCTTCTAGATCCATTACATTTTCTAGAAAAATTTTTTCTCCATAATTTGCAAAGTACTGGTATTATCTTCATTAGGTTTACTAATAAAAGCAGACATAATATTGTGAAGTAGCTTCTTCTTTGTTCTTTTCATTAGGCTGTAATGGATTAGCTCTTGTATATTGGGAGGGAAGAAGTCAGGATGTGTGGGGAACTTACAGAAGTGAGAGGCACTGAGAGAGCTAGTAGAACTGTAAAGAAATTGAAAAGAGATGCTGACATTGGAGTGCTTCCTATAAAAGGAGTATCATTCAAGGTTTTAGAAACCACTGAGGAGAAAAGAATATAATTTGATGTGACTAGGGTAAAAAAAAATAATGAACAAGGGAACACTTCTAGAGAGCCCATGGGTTTTTTGGCTTCATAGCTGGGAAGAAGTTTTGAAAAACAATCTAACTTTTACTATACCTCCATGAAGGACTGCCTTCAAATAATTCACAATAACTTTCTTGAATGACCATGTATATTTTGTATATTTAAAAATTACCACTCCTGTTTAAAATACAAATTATATTTCAAATATAATTTTTGGTTCTTGGACCCAGAAAACAAAATTGTCCCAAAAATCCATATGGTAAAACATATATTCCTAGCTTCTGAGAAAATTAGCAGTCAGAGTGGTCTGTAGTAAATCGTTTCCTTCACTGAAATTTCACCATTTAGAAATCACATGTTTGCTTTGGATAATGTCTAGAGAACTAGATATGTTGAATTGAGAACAAGGTATGGCAATAAAAACATGGTAAGTCAAGGGCCTTCATATCTCACAAACACAATGAGGAGTCCACCATTAGATAGAAAATGAGATCTAGATACTGGGTGTTTAATACTAGCAAGTAGATAGATCATTCATTAACATATTGAGATTATGTGTAACTTCACAGCCTGTCTCCTAGTTCATTCTCTTACCTGATTGAGTGTTCTGATTCACAGTTAAGGAAGCTATTCATGTTTATATTCCCAGTGATTATAAAAGTTAAAACATATTTGAAGTAATAGTTCATGTTGGGATTGCAGCATAAACTCATCTTTAAAAACCTCTTTCTCTCTTTCTGAAAAATCAGTCTGCCTTTTAATGAGCCACAGGTCTCTAGACATAGAAATCCAAAGGGAGAGTGTCCCCTGGTGTTGAGAAAGATTTTAGGAATTAGCAGGATGCCTTTCCACACCTGTAATATGAATCAGTGGCCTTGGGGAATTCCTGTGTGAAGTTTCATTTGTTTTTTTCATTCTTGTTTTTTTTTTTTCCTTACTAAGTTTGTTCCTTAGTTTTAGAACTATGGCCAACACAGGTCTCAATGGCTTAATATGTTTTCTTAGTCAAATTTCTTTTTATTTCCTAGGACAGAGATATGGATTTACTTTCCCATTTTTGGGACTTTCCTGAAAGAATACCCTGGTATTTTTCAGGAAACCTGTTTTGGCTACTGTTGCTCTGTAGTATAGCTTGAAGTAGGGTAACATGATGCCTCCAAATTTGTTCTTTTTGCTTAGAATTGCTTGGCTATTCAGGTTCTTTTTTGGTTTCACATGAATTTTAAAGTGTTTTTCTAGAATAAACTAGTTTATTCTAGTATTCTAAACTTTAGTTTAGAAACTACCAAGAATGTCTTTGGTAGTTTGATAGAAATAGCATTGAATCTGTAAATTGCTTTGGGCAGTATGGCCATTTAAACAATATGATTCTTACTACCCATGAACAAGAAATCTGTTTCCATTTGTTTGTATTATCTCTGATTTCTCTGAGTAGTGTTTTGTAGTTCTTATTGTAGAGACCTTTCACCTGCCTTGTTAGCTGCATTTCTTGGTATTATATTCTTTCTTTGGCAATTGTGAATGGGATTGTGTTCCTGATTTGTCTCTCAGCTTGACTGTTGTTGCTGTATAGGAATGCTAGTGACTTTTGTACATTGATTTTGTATCCAGAAACTTTGCTGAAATAGTGTATCAGCTGAAGGAGCTTTTTGACCAAGACTATGGGGTTTTCTAGATATAGAATCATGTCATCTGCAAACAGGAATAGTTTTACTTACTCTCTTCCTATAATGCCCATTATTTCTTTCTCTTGCCTAATTGCTCTAGCCAGGACTTCCAATGCTATGTTGAATAGGAGTGCTGAGAGAGGACATCCTTGTCTTGTGCTGGTTTTCCAGAGGAATGCTTCCAGCTTTTGTCTATTCAGTATGATGTTGGCTTTGGATTTGTCATAAATGGCTCCTACTATTTTGAGGTATTTTCCTTAATACCTAGTTTATTGAGAATTTTTAATATGAAGCAATGTTGAACTTAATTGGAAGCCTCTTCTGTTATCTATTGAGATAATCATGTGAGTTTTGTTTTTAGTTCTGTTTATGTGATGAATCACATTTATTAATTTGCAAATGTTGAACCAACCTTGTATCCCAGGGATAAAGCCTACTTAATCATTTTGTATTAGCTTTTTGATGTGCTGCTGAATTCAGTTTGCTAGCATTTTGTTGAGAATTTTTGCATCTATGTTCATTAAGAATATTGGCCTGAAGTTTTCCTTTCATGTATGTGTTTCTTTCAGGTTTTTGTATCAGGATGATGCTGGCCTCATAGAATGAGTTGGGGAGGAGTCACTCCCCCTTTGTTTGGTAGGCTATTTATTACTGATTCAATTTCAGAGCTCGTTATTGGTTTCTTCACAGAATCAGTTTCTTCTTGGTTCAGACGTGGGAGGATGTATGTGTATAGAAATTTATCCATCTCATCGAGGTTTTCTAGTTCATGTGCATATGTGTTCATGATTCATCATGTCTCTGATGATTATTTGTATTGTTGTGGGGTCAATGGTAGCATCCCATTTGTCATTTCTGATTGTGTTTATTTGGATCATCTCTCTTTCCTTCTTTATTGATCTAGCTAGGAGTCTATTCATCTTATTAATTCTCCCAAAAAACAAACTCCTGGATTCGTTTATCTTTTGTATGGTTTTTCTCATCTCAATTTCTTTCAGATCAGCTCTAATTTTGGTTATTTCTTGTCTTCTGCTAGCTTTTGGGTTGGTTTTGTCTTCTGTCTCTAGTTCTTTTACTTATGATGTTAGGTTGTTAATTTGAGATCTTCGTATCTTTTTGATGTGGGCATTTAGTGCTACAAATTTCCCCCTTAATGCTGCCTTAGCTGTGCCCCAGAGATTCTGGTATGTTGTATCTTCATTCTCAATAGTTTCAAAGAACATTTTGATTTCTGCACTAATTTCAGTACTTACCTCAAATTCATTAAAGAGTAAGTTGTTTAATTTCCATGTAATTGCATGGATTGAGTGATTTTTTTAGTCTTGATTTCTATTTTTATTGAGCTGTTGTCCACCAATGTGTTTGGTATGATTTCAGTTCTTTTGCATTTGCTGAGGATTGTTTTATGTCCAATTGTGGGGTCTATTTTTAGAGTACGTGCCTGTGTTGATGAGAAGAATGCACATTCTGTTGTTTTGGGGTGGAGAGTTCTGAGGTCTATCAGATCTATTTGATCCAATGTTGAGTTCAATCTTTGTTTAAATCTTTGTTAATTTTCTGCCTTGATGATCTGTCTAGTACTGTCAGGGGAGTGTTGAAATACCCTACTGGAGACTCCCATTGTGTGGGCATCTAAGTCTCTTTGTAGGTCTCTAAGAACTTGCTTTATGAATCTGGATTCTCCTGCTGTGGGTGCATATATATTTAGGATATCTAGATCTTCCTGTTGAATTGAATCCTTTATCATTAGATAATGCCCTTCCTTGTCTTTTTTCGTTTTTGTTAGTTTAAAGTCTGTTTTTCTCTGAAATTAGAATTGCAACCTCTTCTTATTTCTGATTTTCATTTACTTGGCAGATTTTTTCCATCCCTTTATTTTGAGCCTATGGGTGTCATTGCATGTGAGATGGGTTTCCTGAAGACAGCATACAATTGGATTTTGCTTCTTTACCCAGCTTGCCACTCTGTGCCTTCTAATTGGGACATTTAGCCTGTTTACTTTCAATGTTTGTATTGATATATGTAGATTTAATCCTGTCTTTTTGTTGTTAGCTGGTTATTATGCCTGCTTGTTTGTCTGGTTGCTTTATAGTGTCACGGGTCTGTGTACTTAAATGTGTTTTTGTATTGGCTGGTAATGGTGTTTTCTTTTCATATTTAGTACTCCTTTCAAGATCTCTTGTAAGGTGGGTCTAGTAATACAATCCCTCAATGTTTACTTGTCTGAAAAGATCTTATTTCTCCTTCACAGAGAAAGCTTAGTTTGGCTGGATATAAAATTCTTGGTTAAAGAAATTTTTCTTTAAGAATATCGAATATAGACCTGCAATCTCTTCTGGCTTTCAACATTTCTGCTGAGAGGTCCACTGTTAGCCTCATACGGTTCCCTTTGTAGGTGACCTGCCCTTTCTGTCAAGCTGCCTTTTACATTCTTTCTTTCATTTTGTCCTTGGAAAATAAGATGATTTTGTGTGTTGGGGATGATCTTCTTGTCTAGAATCTTGCAGAGGTTTTCTGTATTTCCTGCATTTGACTATTGGCCTCTCTAGCAAGATTGGGGAAGTTTTCATGGTTGATATCCTGAAATATGTTTTCCAAGTTGTTTGCTTTCTCCCCCTCTCTTGCAGGGATACCAGTGATTTGTAGATTTGGCCTCTTTACATAATCTCATATTTCACAGAGGTTTTGTTCATTCCTTTTCCTTTTATTCTTTATTTTTGTCTGACTCTCTTATTTCAGAGAGCCTGTCTTCAAATTCTCAGATTCTTTCCTCAGCTTTGTCTACTCTGCTATTAATATTTGTGATTGCATTGAAAAATTATTTTAGTGAGTTTTTCAGCTCTATCAGGTCAGTTAGGTTGTTTTTATACTGGCTGTTTTGTCTGTCACCTCTTGTATCGTTTTATTGTGATTCTTAGCTTCCTGGGATTGGGTTTTGCCATTCTCCTGAATCTCAATTATCTTCATTCCTATCCATATTCTGAATTCTATTTGTTATTTCAGCCATCTCAGTCTGCTTAAGAATTCTTGTTGAAGAACTAGAGTGATCATTTGGAGGACATAAGACACTCTGACCATTTGAGTTGCCAGAGTTCTTTTTTTTTTTTTCTCATCTCTGTGTGTGAGTGTTCCTTTAACTGCAGAACTGCCTCTGATTGAAGTGGTCAGGTGGCAGCTGGGTGATTGTGCTGGAGTCCCAGGTCATGTGGCCTTGCCCAGTGAGGAGAAGTGAGGATCAGGATCTGCATGGAGAACAGTTCAGCCACTTTTCTATGATGTGGATGCTCTGTGTTATGGGTCCCAACCAGCCCTTGGTCCCACAGACTCTCCAGGGCCTGGGGACACAAGGATGAAGACTGTGAGAAAGCAAAGATGACAACCCACCCCTTCCATTGGGAGCTTTGTCCCAGGGCATTGCAGAACTGCTACTGGCTCAATAGTCCCAGTGTAAGGGTGACTGGAGACTAGGCTGGGAGGATCTGCCCCAGGAGAAGATACAGGATTGGGGACCCACATAACATACAGTCTGACCACTTTTCCATAGAGCTGCTACCATATTCTGGGGATCTGCTCCAGTCCCTAGTCACTTCAGATTTTCCAGTACCTGATGGTATCAACAGTGAAGTTTGTCAAACAGCAAAGATGGCGGCCTGCGCCTCCCTCTGGGAGCTCTGCTCCAGGAAGGAATGGACCTGTTACCAGCCCAAACACACTGGCAGGGTTGGCTGGGGATCCCAGAAGTTCCCACTCAGTGAGGAAAAACAGGATCAGGAGGTGCATTAAAAAGCAGTCTGGCCACTTTTTCATAGAGCAGCTATGCTGTCTTTGGGGTCTACTCCAGCCCCCAGTTGCTTCCAGCTCTCCAAAGCCCAAAAGTGACAATGGCTAAGCCTGCAAAACAGTAAAGATGGAGGCCTACCCCTCCTCTGGGAGCTCTGCTAGGGAGGTTTGGGATTGCTACTGGCCGGAAAACACCAGCAGAAGTGGTTGTAGACCTCGGTCAGGGGATTCCTCCCAGTAAACAGAAATGGGATCTGAGACCCACATGAAAAAGTGGTCTGGCCATCTCTTTGTAGAGCTGCTATGTTGTGCTGGGGTACCACTCCAGTCCCTAGTCACCTCAGATTCCCCAGAGCCTGAAGGCACCAATGGTTAAGGCTATGAAACAGCAAAGAAGGCAGCCCAAGCCTCCCTCTGAGATCTCCATCTCAGGGAGGTATAATGTTGCTACCCATGGCAGCCTAGAGTTCAAAGCTATTGGGTCTTATCCTGTGATGTTCCATGGAAATGGGGCTTGCAGATAGTCATTGCTCAGCCCCGTGGATTTAGACCGTTTTCTAGGGGTATATATGGGGGGGGGTGTCTAACCTCCCAGTTTGCCAGAGTTGCAGTTACTTTTGCTGGGAAGCCTGGGTATCTTAAGCTCCTGTGGCTTCCAGTGTGCCTGAGTGGATGCTCTGACGAGACTCCACATAGCTTTGCATGTCAGACTGAAGGCCCTGGTGGAGTGAGTTCATGAGGGATCTCCTGACCTGAGGGTTGCAAAGTTCTGTGGGAAAAGTATGGGTTCCCAAGGTCGCTCACTCACTCACCACTTCTCTGGGCAGGGGAGGCTACCCTGGCTACATGTCATTCCCAAGTGGGTGGTTCTCCTGCCTTGCTTTTCTCTGTTCTCTGTGGGTTGGGTTGTTTTCTTGATGAATCCCAATGCACGTACCCAGTTCAGTTGAAGATACTGTATTTACTTGCCTCTTCTATTTTGCTCTGTGACAGCGGTGCACAATAGGTGCTTCTCGTTGGCCATCTTGGCCAGCCCTCAACTTCTTGTTATTTTATACACTGTGAATATAATACAAATGAATACTATTTATTGCATGCTTATTATGTGTAAGGTATTGTTCTAAGTTCTTTACATCTATTAGCTCTCTTAATTCTCACAAAAACCCAATGAAGTAAGTAATACAGTCATTTATCTTATATCACAAGAAAACTGAGGCTCAAAGGATTTAAGTAAATTTTTCTTCTTGTGATATATTGTGAAACCAGGACTCAAACTGAGGCTCCTTAGTTCTAGTGATCACTGTATTGTGCTCTTTCAAATATTATTCATCTTAATTTTATCTACAATTTTCTTAGTTGACTAGCCATTCGCTATTTTAATGAAGTCATGATCAGCAATTTTCTTCTTTATGTATTGTCTCTTTGTGATTGTACATATTATTTGTTTTAAATTTTCTTTTATTACAAAGGAAGCTTCATGGGCCTGCGACCCATGCAGTCACAAAGGACCCTGCACTCAGAAGGGCCCTATGTTTGATTTAATGCTTTGTGGTCACTGTCTTGAAACTCTTAGTAATTTTTTTTAACTTCCTTTTTTTTATTATTATACTTTAAGTTCTGGGGTACCTGTGCAGAACGTGCAGGTTTGTTACATAGGTATACATGTACCATGGTGGTTTGCTGCACCCATCAACCCGTCATCTACATTAGGTATTTCTCCTAATGCTACCCCTTCCCTACCCTCCCACCCCCTGACAGGCCCTGGGGTGTGATGTTCCCCTCCCTGTGTGCATGTGTTCTCACTGTTCAACTCCCACCTATGAGTGAGAACAAGCGGTTCTCTGTTTTGGTTTTCTGTTCTTGTGATAGTTTGCTGAGAATGATGCTTTCCAGTGTCATCCATGTCCCTGCAAAGGACATGAACTCATCCCTTTTTATGGCTGCATAGTATTCCATGGTGTATACGTGCCATATTTTCTTTATCCAGTTTATCATTGATGGGCATTTGGGTAGGTTCCAAGTCAATGCTATTGTGAACAGTGCTGCTATAGACATACATGTGTGTGTCTTTATAGTAGAATGATACATAATCCTTTGGGTATATACCCAGTAATGGGACTGCTGGGTCAAATGATATTTCTAGTTCTAGATCCTTGAGGAATCGCCACACTGTTTTCCACAATGGTTGAACTAATTTACGCTCCCACCAACAGTGTAAAAGTGTTCCTATTTCTCCATGTCCTTTCCAGCATCTGTTGTTTCCTGACTTTTTAATGATCACCATTCTAACTGGCGTGAGATGGTATCTCATTTTGGTTTTGATTTTCATTTCTCTAATGACCAGTGATAATGAGCTTTTTTTCATATGTTTGTTGGCTGCATAAATGTCTTCTTTTGAGAAGTTTCTGTTCATATCCTTTGCTCACTTTTTGATGGGGTTGCTTTTTTCTTGTAAATTTGTTTAAGTTCTTTGTAGATTCTAGATATTAGCCTTTTGTCAGATGGATAGATTGCAAAAATTTTCTCTCATTCTGTAGGTTGCCTGTTCACTCTGCTGATAGTTTTTTTTTGCTGTGCAGAAGTTCTTTAGTTTAATTAGATCCCATTTGTCTATTTTGGCTTTTGTTGCCATTGCTTTTGGTGTTTTAGTCATGAAGTCTTTGCCCAAGCCTATGACCTGAATGGTATTGCCTAGGTTTTCTTCTAGGGTTTCTATGGTTTTAGGTCTTATGTTTAAGTCTTTAATCCATCTTGAGTTAATTTTTGTATAAGGTGTAAGGAAGGGATCGTGTTTCAGCTTTCTACATCTGGCTAGCCAGTTTTCCCAACACCATTTATTAAATAGGGAATCATTTCCCCATTGCCTGTTTTTGTCAGGTTTGTCAAAGATCAGTTGGTTGTAGATGTGTGGTGTTATTTCTGAGGCCTCTGTTCTGTTCCGTTGGTCTATATATCTGTTTTGGTACCAGTATCATGCTGTTTTGGTTACTGTAGCCTTGTAGTATAGTTTGAAGTCAGGTAGTGTGATGCTTCCAGCTTTGTTCTTTCTGCTTAGGATTGTCTTGGCTATGCAGGCTCTTTTTTGGTTCCATTTGAAATTTAAAGTTGTTTTTTCTGATTCTGTGAAGAAAGTCAATGGTAGCTTGATGGGGATAGCATTGAATCTATAAATTACTTTGGGCAGTGTGGCCATTTTCACGATATTGATTATTCCTATGCATGAGCATGGAATGTTTTTCTGTTTGTTTGTGTCCTCTCTTATTTCCTTGAGCATTGGTTTGCAGTTCTCCTTGAAGAAGTCCTTCATATCACTTGTAAGTTGTATTCCTAGGTATTTTATTCTCTTTGTAGCAATTGTGAATGAGCGTTCACTCATGATGTGGCTCTCTGTTTGTCTGTTGTTGGTGTATAGGAATGCTTGCGATTTTTGCAAATTGATTTTGTATCCTGAGACTTTGCTGAAGTTGCTTATCAGCTTAAGGAGATTTTGGGCTGAGATGATGGGATTTTCTAAATATACGATCATGTCATCTGCAAACAGAGACAATTTGACTTCCTCTTTTCCTAATTGAATACTCTTTATTTCTTTCTCTTGCCTGATTGCAGGAAATACGTTGTGAACTTCCCAGCACATCTGTTAGAAAGGAGGTCCAGAAAAAGAGCACAAAGAGAATGGTCTGTATTTAAAGATGTAACAGCTGAGAAAGCACAGTGTAATTTTCAAGAAAATGACTGTAGCCATTCTGCTTGGGCTTACATCTATCATTGCTAATCACTGTCGGAAAAACTTTGGGCAAATGACTTAACATTTCTGTTCCTGTATTTCTTCATCTGTAAAATAAGAATAAAGGTTGTTACGATGATTAAATGAGCTAATATGTATAAAGTACTTAGAATAGGGTCTGACACATACAATGCACCATGTATGTTTTTGCTAGGTAAAAACAAATACATTAATCTTCAGACGGGACTATCAAAATGAGTCTCAAGTCAATGTGGTAGCTAGTCTAGACACATGGATGCCAAGTGAACCATGCCTCTCAGCATTGATGCCCTGTGTGGTTCATTTTTCTTGAACCTGGGCTGGCACAGTGACTTCACCAATAGAATGCAACAAAAATGATGTTCTGGAACTTCGAAGGTACGTTAAAAGAAACCTTACAACTTCTTAATAGATCTCCTGAAACAGTCACTCTTGGGATGCTCCCAAGAAACAAGAATGCATTTGCCATATCAATGGACAAAAACCATTTACCTGAAGCCCTGTTAACTTGTTCTAGCAATGATACCATGTCTGACATGACAGCTGTGATCAAGACTACTAGTCTGCAGCTATTCAGGATTTATCTGTTTTTTGCAAGTGATCTTTCAGTCTTTAGATATTTAAGGGGGCACTAATCTTGGCTATCCTTCCCAGGATGTGATATTGTTGTTAGTTTAATATCCTTGCCAGATGGGGCAGTTTCAAAGCTTCCAGTTGGCATTATCCAGTACGATAGCGCATTTCCCACTGGCCAAGGACTGATGTAGAGGCTTCTCTTACTGCCAAGTATATCAGTCCTAATCGTATAGCCAGTGACTGTGGGAACGACTATTGGATGTGCCTACAGTACTGGGTGACGTACTGTAAGCTAAACTTTAACATGACTCCATTCGTAATCTGGCTTCTGTATGCTCATTGTAACATTTGGGCCATGGTGATGCTTTGGCTCTTGGAGTATCGGTGTCAACTCAGACAACTGTACTTGAAATATTTGGGTATTCCCCCTTTCCCAGTGTGCAGTAATTTGCATAAATAATGTTAGCTCCCTCTCGGGAAAAACTATAGGTGTCTTTCCAGTAAATGCTTACCACAATGTTGAAGTTCACTTCTTTCTGGAGGACATGACTAAATGTTCAGGTAATAAGTTATGCACCTAAATATTAGCTTGCGTCTGTGAACTGAGCAGGAAATTAGGCCATTTTATTAGAGAGACCACCCTCAGTGTCCTGTTCCTCTACTCTTGCCTTCTTTTGATTGTAGTTTTTAAGCAGCAACCTCATCAGCTGTCCTGTAATTTCGTCTTTAGGGACACATGTTATATTAACCATCACCACAGCTTCCTGTAGGTCAAGACTACTTGGCTACCTTTTTGACTCACTGATGATTACAGCAATTGCCAACTACTAGCTTCCAGTGGTTCAATGCTACCATATATTTTTATTGCTGTAGGCCCCTTTTCTCCAGCAATTCAAACTCTGTGATTACTTCTGTAACCATTATCCCTGGTCTACAAAGAGTCACCACTGAATTTCTTAGTAATTCCAGAACGCCTCTGCCAGAGCATTCTGAATTGTGAATGGTGTGTCTCCTCTGAGTACTCTTGTGGAACATAATATTCTGGTGGCTTTTCTGACCTACATATAGTATATTCTTCCAATACCCCCACTTTCCTGAGTCTCTTTATTCCTTTCCATACCATCTGTCAGGGCAACTCAGTAATTTTAACTTTGATCATCATGGGCCAATGCCTTCCCTGTGCTTGTAAGAGCCACACTAGCAGCACATTTACTTAAGCCCCAGATTCCGTGTCTAAGAACTCAATGTCCCCTAGTTAATATATTCTCATTTATCCAGTTTAGTGTTCTAGTCCCTTGATCATGCACACTCAAAATTCAATCCCATGGTACTCCTGCTGGCACATTGTAACTACTATTTGCACTCCTGTCAGTTTAATCTCTTTTCTATTTTAACATCTCTAGCACAACCCTAATTAATTTATGGGGATTTAACTCTAATTGTTGGCCTGGCGGTCAAGAGAGACATCCACTATCTATAGTAATATGTAGTACAGTAGACATGTACTATCCACAGTAACAAAGAAGATAGAAAGGATATCTATTGAACCCAGATGTTGCTAAGGTGCTTACTAGGAAGAATGATTGTAGTAGTCAGGGTTCTTCTGAGAAACAGAGTCAACAGAATATTGATTGGATGATGGCCACCTACATTAGGGAGGATAATCTGCTTTACTCAATCTATCAATTCAAATGTTAGTCTCATCTAAAAACATCCTCACTGACACATCCAGAAAACTGCTCAATTAAATAAAGTGTGGACATCCTCAGTCAAGCTGACATAAAAACCATCAAAATAGTGAAAGTTCCAACAGATTCTTTTAGCTGACTATTACAAAATAGGGCAGACGTAAGATGAACTAAAAAACAAGGCATTCAATTTTCAATCAGTATTTAGAGGAAAACTAGATTCCAGGACTTCCTAGGATCAAAAAATTAAACTGTATATTAGTGCTAAATAGTCTAGATGGTAGAAGTTTCTCAAAGTAAGAAATGGCTTCAGGGCAAAGATCATATTCCAAGGTGCTGTTAGTGAAGTATGGTTTTTAGGTAAAGATCCCAAGGATGTGACTATAATACCCATTGTTGAAAGCTCAGAAAGATAATGGGGAAGCCTAGAATAGTTTCTAAAAATCTTAAGACAGGCCTCTTAAGCCCTCTATGTTAGACACAGAGGTCACTACGAGTCTTATGGACATGCCTTGTCAACATTTCCAGCTAGAGGCAAAAATGTTTCCAGAAATCTTATTTTAGCTTTATTGAGGTACAATTGACATAAAAAAATTATATGTCTTTAATGTATACATCGTGATGAGTTTGGGCATATGTACACATACTATCATCACCACAACCAGGGTAGTAAGCATATCCACCACCTCCAAAAATGTCCTCATGCTCTTTTGTGTTGTTTTTGTTTCTGTAAAAGCACTTATCATGAGATCTATAGTCTTGTTAACATATTTTAAAGTGCAAAATACTATTTTCTAGTTATAGGTAATATGTTGTACTGCAGATCTCTAGATCTTATTTATCTTGCATAACAGGAACTTTATACCATACCCACTGATAAACAATTCCCCATCTCCCCCTCTACACATTCCTTTACAATCACCATTCTATTTTGTATTTCTATGAGGTTGACTTAAGCATGGCCATGCAACATTTGTCCTTTTGAGACTGTCTTATTTTACTTATCATGATATCCTCTAGGTTTGTCCATATTGTAATAATTGGCAGGATCTCCTTCTTTTAAAGGTTAAATAATATTCATGTATATATTCATTTTCTTTATCCATTCATCTGCCAATGAATACTTGGGTTGTTTTTGTATTTTGTCTACTGTAAAAAATTTCAAAATAAACAGAGTGTTGCACATATTTCTTCAAGGCCCTGATTTCAATTCTCTTGGCTATACACCCAGAAGAGAAATTGCTGGATCAGATTGTAGATTTATTTTTAATTTTTAAAGGAATTTTCATACCATTTTGCATAGTGGCTGCAATTTCTATATTCAGTGTATAAGGGATCCAGTTTCTCCACATTCACACCAACACTTTTTTTTTTTATAATAACCATCCTAAAATATGTTAAGTGATATCTGACTATGGTTGCCTTTTTCTGATGGTTAGTGGTATTGAGTACGTTTTTATATACTTGTTGGCCATTTATATGTCTTCTTTAAAGAAATACCTATTCAATTATTTTGTCAATTTTAAGTTGTGTGTGTGTGTGTATATATTATTGAGTTGAGAAGATTATTATGTATTTTAGATATTAACCCCTATCAGATAGATGGTTTGAAATATTTTCTCCCGCTTCATAGGATGACTTTTCACTCTGTTGATCATTTCCTTTGTTGTGAAGAAGCTTTTTAGCTTTACATAGTCCTGCTTGTCTATTTTTTATTTTGTTGTTTCAAATCTAGAAAATCATTGTCAAGACCAACATCAAGAAGTTATCTCCTTATTCTTTTTCTTCTAGGAGTTTTACATTTAAATCTTTAATCCATTTTGAGTTGATTTTGTATATAGTATGAGATAGGGTCCAATTTCATTCTTCTCTATGTAGTTTATTCTACACCATCTATTGAAGGGACTATTCTTTCTCCATTGTGTGTTCTCAGCAATCTTGTCCAAGATCAGTTTACTATATATATGTGCATTTATTTCTGGACTCTCCATTCTGTTCTATTGGCTTGTATGTCTGTCTTTATCTCAGTACTATACTATTTTAATTAAATGGAAGGCATTCAAATTGAATATAAAATTAACATACAAAATCAATTGCATTCCTATACATTAACAATCTAGCTTTTCTGAGCTATCAGAAAAGGAAGAACCAAAACAATTTCATTTAAAATAGCATAAAAAAGAATAAAATGCTTAGCAATAAACTTAACCAAGGAAGTGAATGACTTGTACACTGGCAACTGTAAAAACATTGATGAAAGGAATTGAAGAAGACTCAAATAAATAGAAACATAACCTATGTTCAGGGCTTAGAAGAATTAAAATTGTAAAATGTCCACACTACCATAACTTGTCTATGAATTCAATGCAATCACTATCAAAATCCCAAAAGCATTTTTTACAGAAATGGAAAAAACTATTCAAGAAAGACCTCAAATAGCCCAAGTGATCTTCAGAAAGAATAGCAAAGCAGATGGTATCACTCTTCTTGACTTCCCAAGATGTTGCAAAGGTACAGTAAATAAAACAGTATTCTACTGGCATGAAGACAGACAGAGAGAAATCTCAAGGGTGTTGTCTCACAGTACACTAATTGTCAGCCCAAGTCAGAGAAAGGCCTGTCCTAAGGAGATGTATGAGTGTGGTACTTATCTAATTGACTAAACCCAAATAAGAATCCTAAGAACCTAAAATATTTTAAAAGGAATATTATTGGTGGGCCAGGCACAGTGACTCAGATCTGTAATCCCAGCACTTTGGGAGGCTCATGTGGGTGGATCACATGAAATCAGGGGTTTGAGGCCAGCCTGCGCAACACGGTGGAAACCCTGTCTCTATTAAAAGTACAAAATTTAGCCGGGCATGGTGGCACATGCCTGTAATCCCAACTACTTAGGAGGCTCAGTTGAGAGAATCACTTGAACCTGGGAGGTGGAGGTTGCAGTGAGCCGAGATTGCACCGTCCCACTGTACTCCAGTCTGGGTGACAGAGTGAGATCCGTGTTAAAAAAAAAAAAAAAAAAAAAAAAAAAAGAAGAAGAAGAAGAGAGAGAATTTTATTGGTATCATCAGTTTCAATTGCATCATCTTAGACTCTAGAGGACGGAGTGAGAAAAATGTCCCCAAATGGGTTTCACAATTGCTATGTAACTGTTATGTGCCTCCCATTTTTTCTCTTTTGGAGTAACATTTTCTATTACTGTCATCTTATATCTACTTTATCATTATGTGCTGAGTGTGTGACAGGAAGATAACCTGACTTCTTCAAGTTCAAAGGTCTTCAGGTCAAAAGGAACCATTCTTGAGGAATCATACTAAATATGCCCCATTTGCACTTTGTCATGATTTGGATTTTAAAAACCTAGACTTTGAGCTGATGCTATAAAGGGATGAGATTTTAAGATTATTAGGAAGAGGAGTAAGTGTACCTTGCATATGGGAACAACATGAATTATTAGTGGTTAGATATGGGACTGTGGTAGATTAAGGATGTCCACACAATTTTTGACACTCTTTCCATTGAAGGTTACAGAAGCTCAGTTGGCCTGCGATTTCTTTGGCCAATAGAGTATGATAGAAGTTATGTTAATGCTGGTTCTTGGTTTTTGTCTTTGAGACAACTAACAATTTTTGTCTTGGTTTGCTGTCCCCCATGAAAAAGTCTGTCCCGAGGCTTCCCTGTTAAAGAAGCACATGACAGTCAACTGAGAAACTGGAGAGAGAGAAAGAGAGAGAGAGAGAGAGAGAGAGAGAGAGAGAGAGCAGATCCAGATATCACTGAGCATAGTCAACCCTTTCCTGCTGTGCCCTCCCCAATTTCTGACCCACAGAATCCTGGGATTTGATTAAATAAATTAAGCCATTTAGATTTAGGCTACTATTTGTTATGCAGCAGTAGATAACTAGAACCCATGTGTTTTCCTACAGTTCACAGCTTCCATGTAGATGGGATTATGCAATAAACTCTGAGCAACAGAAGTGATAGTCTGAGATAGTTCAGGTGGATAGTGTCTTCTCCACACAGGCATTCTCTCATCAACAAAACTGGAACTGAAGGACCAAAGAAGGTTGACTTGGAAGATAGAAGAAGTACCAGAGAGAGGTCAGATCGTTTGGGTTTGCAAAAGTGAAGGCAGAGGTTTTGAATAGTCAGCCCACCCGCTCAACTTAGCTTCCATAGTCTTGTCTATTTGTATCTCTAAATAGTTACAAATGTTGGCATACCACATCTTTTCAGAGCCAGAATCCATTTCTAAGTACTTAGAAACTAAGAAACATCATACCTATTCTTGTCTATTAGCTCCAGAAATACTTCCACAGTTATGATTTCATTGTTTTCACTTAGTATGAGTTTGGTACCAAAGGAAAAGAAAAATAAATTTTCATGAATTTTTTGTATTTCACCTGTATTTCATCATATTACATGCATTACAGTCTGTCAAAATAAGGACAGATAAAGGAAAACGAAACCAAAATAATAGAGTGTTTAAAGTCATCATCTTTCATGACCAAGGGTGGAGAGATACGAGTGGTTATAACACTCTAATGAGATACAAAGTGATTCTTGAGGTGTTTTTTGTTTGTTTGTTTGTTTTACCTAGCTCCACTTTTAATGGTATTTCATAGTAATCCTTGAAGTCTGGCCAGTTGACTTCTAAAACATCTCTGAAGATATAGGTACCAGAACTCTTAGCTGAACAATTGGTTGTTTTATCTCTTAATTAGTGGTTGCAATGTCATTCAATTTAATTACTTATTAGCCTCTCTGGACCAAGTAAAAAGCATTTTTCATTTGTATTATAAAATGTAAAAATAAAATTGTCAACTTTTAGTAAAAGTTTGTTCCCTTTTTCCACTCTTTCCTATTCTTTTTGTGTCATAAAAGAAATGAAACATTCTAGTGTGTTTCAGTAGCTCATTCTCTCTGCAGCATGTCCTCTGTGTGAGATTCATTTTCTTTAGTTAAACGGTGGGTCTTTTAGGGCACCTTTCCTTTATTTTGTGCAGGACTTTCATAAATCTAACACCTGTAGAGCTTTTTTTGATTAAAATAATAAACAACACAATTGATTAATTTTTCACATGAATAACTGTTGGTGTAGTAAGAGGAAAGTTTTAAGTATTTTATGCTGAAGTAGGGGAAAACACTTCATGTTGCCTGTGTGCCAGCTAACAATGACAAGAATTGCTGTAATCTTAGCTTTTCCTTTCTCCCAGTTGCCATCTTGCTTGGGCTTCAAATAGTCTGAAAACTTTCTATAACAATGGCAGAATTATGCAGACTTCCATGTTATGGAAAGTGTCTTTAGGATGTCATTTTTTACATAACCAGGCTGTAAAAGTAGAATATTTTCAGGGAAGCATCTACAAAATAAGTCATTGGCATTATTCATATTCAATGTAGTGTAAAATCTAAACACTTTTACATTGCAAGTGGTGATGAAATTTTTTATAACCTCTGGGGAGGGCAATTTGGCAGTATCTATCTGAATTACAATAACGATATCTCTTGACCTAACATTTCCATGTCTGGAAGTTTGTCCTACAAATAGACTTGCACATATATAGAATGACGTGTACACAAGATTATACACTGCAACATATGATTGGAAATAACATAGATGTCCAATGATAGGAGACTGATCTATCAAATATAATACATGAACAAAGTGGCATATACCATGCATGTTAAAAAAATAAAGAAGCTCTATGTTCTAATAGGGAAAGATCTCCAAGATACACATTGCCCTCAACATTGGTTTGCTCATATAACATGTATTGTTCATTGCCATTCTTTTTTAAAGAAAATATTTGTATTTGACTGTGTAGCATAAAGGATCTCTGTGAGGACAGATAACAACTGATTAAATTGATTGCATATGAAGAGTAAGTCAGTGACGGAGGGCAGAGATGGGGAGAAACATTTGACATCTTTCTATGTCTTTTGCATTTTGAATCACCATTAAAAGAACAAAAACCAACCGAACTGAAAAGAAATCATGACATACCTCTTTAAAATTTATTTAAATAATATGCAAGTTAGCATTTACTTTTCCAATTGAATAAACATAGCCCTACATGACAATCCTTAAAATAAAAAAGCATAATAATTTTATTGATCAGACTAAAATGTGTTAAACTAAAAGGATCTCACAGACAAACAGTCCTAAATATCATCTATCTATACAATACATGGGCAATATAGGCAAAATTCTACATGCAATTGCATACAAGTACATGTTAGAATACATAATAAGTCAATTACATCAACTGATATTCCAAAAAATTTTCAGCATTAGGGTTCCATGGCTAGTGTCTTGCATTTTCAAGTATTCCTCATATTACTTAGAAATGTATTGTTTACTACAACTAGATTGGACTTTTTTTTCTTTTATCCAGTTGCCTCTATTTTACACTTATAAACCATCTGAGAAGCAGTAAAATTACACATCTCTACTTTTTCATTGCTGGTTATTTATGCCTCAGTAGAGTTCTCTGGTTTATTCAAATCAAAGCCTTCTGATCACTCTACCCAAGGCCCCCTTCACTTCCTTGTTCCTCAAAGTATAGATCAGTGGGTTTAGTACAGGAGTGACCACAGTGTACATGATGGCAACAATCCGGTCCTGGTCCATGAAGCTCTCTAACGCAGGATGGATATAGGTGAAAAGAACAGGTGCATAGAAAAGAATAACTACCATGAAGTGGGAGGCACAAGTGGACAGTGCTTTACAGAGCATGCTACAAGAACGGGTCTTGAAGAAGAGATAAGTGATAATGTAGAAATAGGAGAGAAGTGTCAGAAAGAAGGGGCCCATGGCAATTGTCCCCGTGACAGTACTGAGTAGCCACTGATTAAGCTCAGTGTTCCCACAGGCCAGCTTTAGCAATGGCTTAATATCACAGAGAAAATGATGGATACGGTTGGAACCACAGAAGTTCAAGCGAGAAGTCATTACGGAGTGCAGCAGGGCATGGAAAAAACCAATGACCCAGATTGTGATGGCCATCTGGGTACAGAGCTGAGGGTTCATGATGACAGTGTAGCGAAGTGGCTTGCAGATAGCCACAGAGAGGTCAAATGCCATCACGGCGAACAACATGGACTCCGTGCTGCCCAGGGAGTGGAAGAAATGAAGCTGGCTTATGCATCCCAAGAAAGAAATTGCTTTGTGTGTAGAGAGAAAGTTCTGCAGCATTTTTGGCAGTGTCACCGTAGAGTAACAGATATCCAGGTAGGACAGGTTTCCCAGGAAGAAATACATAAGGGAATGGAGTCTAGGATCGGAGATGACAATCATCAGAACGGCTCCATTCCCAGTCACACTGATGAAGTAGATGGTGAGGAAAACCACGAAGAGAAAAGGCTGCAGTTCTTGAATGTCTGTCACTCCCAAGAGGAGAAATTCGGTGACTGAGGTTGTATTCAGCATCACTTCAGACAAAAGACAAAATAATCTATGGAACACTAATCGCAATCAGAATCCTTCCGGCTCAGAATTTTCTCACCAAGCCAAAGATACTTGGAAGGAGAGTACTGTTGTACTTCTTCCAAACCTCAGAAGTTGTATAGAAGCTTAGCTGTTGGTCTCTTCAATATTAAGGATTCATGCATATTATGGACTATGACTTAACCACTTTTTAAAATTAAGTTTATCATTAACGTATTTCTTTCTTCTGGGGATTTAGAACATGTTGCTAACTTACATCTTCTCTGGTTGAGAAGAATACATCCGTATTCTGTTACAACTTTCCTTTCCTATCCCAAGTCAGCATTAATAGGGGGCAGTTTTTAAGTGCACCACCACTTGGATATCTCTTGACCCAGGAAAATGGCTCCTGAAATTTTTTGACTTAAGAGAGGAAGATGGGAGGCTGAGGCAGGAGAATGGCGTGAACCCGGGAGGCGGAGCTTGCAGTGAGCCGAGATCCCGCCACTGCACTCCAGCCTGGGCGACAGAGCGAGACTCCGTCTCAAAAAAAAAAAAAAAAAAAAAAAAAGAGAGGAAGATAAAAATGAACTCATTATAATCACAAAGTCTTTAAAGAGATATAAAAACCTCTTTAAAATAGTAGTAATTATTTTGTTCTCATCTTAGAACGTAGATGAGGCTGGAGATGTTCTCTTACTGATCTCTTTCTAACCCACATCTCTGGCAATGTCATGGAGCTCTACTGGGAAAGGAAAAAATAATACATCAATCAAATATTAGCCTGAGGTATATTTGAAGTTTTATCACTGCTATATCAGATAATGTGCTTAGTTTCTTCTACCTAAGCCTTTAAATTTTTTCAAAGTAAATCCCAAATTACTTACTTGATGACAAATGTTATTGTTCCTTTAGTTTCCAGTTGCACTGAGACTTTTTCCTTTTTCACACCCCTGAATCTCTGAATAAGAAAAACTCTTCCAATAGACTCAACAATTCTTCCTTCATTTTACCCAATAGTGTCTTCTTCTAAAGTATCTAAGAATTTAGACCACTGAAAGTTCTGTCTTCTCTTGTGATGCATTTTCTTAAGTCTTATTTTTATTTTGCCTGAAATAAGCTCACTTTTTAGATGTGAAGAAACATTGTATCCAAGTGAATTTTCTCTTTTCTTCTAGTTTCATCAATGTGACACTGACAGTCAGGTTCTCCTCCATCAACCCAGAGGTCTGTTGGCTTCATACCAGTTCTCTCCAAAGTTGCCACACATTTCTAGCCTTTTTCATTTGTAAAATGTGTTTTCTCTATTTGCCCCTTCTTTCCATCAGATAAAATTTCCATTTTCTATGAAAGAAATGTATTCATTTTTCTTTCTTTTGCAGAATTGAAATAATAGAATTTTTTCAGTAACTGTTAAAACACATGAGGGATTATAAGTAAGATAATTATAATGAGGTTTAATATTTGACTAAATTTATACTGTTTACTGAAAGGCAGAAATATATTTTGAAGGTTTTTTCTAACATTATTTGCAAAGTACTTGGGATTATCTTCTATAGGTGCACTGACAAAAGCAGACATAATTTTGTGAAATAGCTTCCTGTTTGTTCCTTTCTTGTACAAATGTAGTGGATTAACTTTTGCATATTAGGAGAAAAGAAGCAAGAATGTGTGGGAAATCCATAGAAATGGCAGGCACTTAGAAAAGAATAAGAACCAATAGGAAATCAGAAGAAAGATGCAGACATTAGAGTGTTTCCTATAAATGGGGAATAATTCGAGGTTGAAAAATTGCTGATGAGAGAAGAAAAGGATTTGGTGTGACTAAAGTTAAAAAAAATAATGAACTAGGAAACATCTCTAGGGAGCCCATAGGATATTTGGCTTTACAGCTAGAGGAAATTTTGAGAGATTATCTAACCTTTACCACACCTCCATGAAGGACTGCCTCCAAACAATTTAAAGTAGCTTTATTTGATAGCCATGTATGTTGCATATTTTTCAAAACTTTTACCATGTCTTTTAAAAGTACAAATGATAGATAAAATATTATTTTTGGTTCTCTGACCCATAAAATAAAATTGTATCAAAAATCTATTTGGTAAAAAGAAAATTTAAAAAATAATAAATAATAAAACAACATTTTCCTAACGTTTAAAGAATGTTGTTTAGCCAACTTCTCTGTACGAAAATATTTCTTTCACTGCAATTTCAATATTTAGGGATTTCAGATTTGCTTTAGCGAATATCTAGAGAGCCAGGCATGTTGAATAGAGAAGGAGATATGGCAATAAAAGTGCGGAAAACAAAATGCTTTCATAATCTACAACTACAATGAAGACTCCATCATAAAAATAGGAAACCAGCTCTAAATCCTGGGCATCTAACTTTAATACTCGCAAGCAGTCAGGTCACTCATTAACAGATAAAAAATACGAGCAGCTTCCCAACCTGTCTCCTATTCTATTCTCTCACCCGGATTGAGAGTTCAGAATCACAGGTAAAAGAGCTTTTCAGATTTATACTCCCAGTGATTATAAATAGAAAAATATTTGAAGTGATGGTTGATGTTGGGATTGCAGCATAAATTATCTTCAAAAATCTTTTCCTCTCTGAAAATCTGCCTGCCTTCCAATGAGCTGCAGATCTCTAGACATAAAAACCTGAGAGAAACTGTCCCCTGGGTGCTGAGAAGGATTGTCGTGAGAATAAACAGGAGGTCTCTCTGCACCTGCAGCATAAGGGGATAGCCATATGGAATTTCTCTGTAGAATTCCACTTTTCTGTTGTTGTCGTTCTTCTTATCTTTTTTTCTTAATATGTTTGTTCCTTGGTTTCATAACCATGGACAAGACAGTTTTCAATAGCTTAATATATTTGCTGGATTTTTTCTTTAAAATAGTAACCCAATATTTTATTTGACCTTTCACAATACTGTTTTTTAAAATATTTATTTGTTTATTTAAAATACTTTTTCCTAGTCAAATTTCCTTTCATTTCCTATGGTAGAGGTTCAGATTCACTTTCTCTTCTTGAGGGCTCCCTTGGAAAATATTTTGGTATATAAAGTGAAAGAAAATTGGCAATAAAAATTAATAAATATGGTCACCCACATTCCATTGATCAGTACAGAAAGATGATTATCTTTAATATTCTACTGTGGTTCTATGAAAACCAAAGAAAGAGACATAAAGAGAAATAGTATTACTTTTGTACCTTCTACATCTTACTCTTCACTGTTGCTAATAATACTAAATTATTTTAAATAATTAATTTTGGGGTCCAAAAGCTCACATTTTTCTCTGTTTGGGATAAGGATTTTGGTCTTACCAATGTGTAGCATTACTTTTTGCTATTTTTTAGGTAAGAAAATTCTGTCTGAATTACACCAGGGTATCTATGCGTGACCTTCCATCAATCCAAGGATTCTACTAACAGTTGTAACTGTGATGTATTTTTTCCGTCTTTCTATTGAGTTTCCATTTTTGTTGCTTGGCAAAAGTTTATTATATATATTTATCACAATAATATCTTATTTTAATTTTTTAATTTTGTTTTTTTTTTTAAATCTTTAATTTTTTTTCTTGTTTTGAGTCAGAGTCTTGCTCTGTCATCCAGGCTGGAGTGCAGTGATGCAATCATAACTCACTGCAGCCTCTAATTCCTGGTCTCAAGCAATCCACCAATATCATCCCCCCAAAATTTTGGGATTATAGGTATGAGCCATTCCACATACAAATAATTCCTTATTTTATATACTGCTAATATATTATAAATAAATAACATTTATTGCATGCTCATTATGTATAAGTTATTGTTCTGAGTTCTTCACATATATTAGCTCATTTAATTCTCACAAAAACCCAATGTAAAAGTATTAAAATTATTCCTTTACTACAAGAAAACCAAGGCTCAAAGGATTTAAGTAAAGTTTCCTTTTCCTTGCAATGGATTGTGAAACTAGGATTCAAAATAAGGCTCTTTAGTTTTAGGGATCACTGCAATGTAATTTCCATTTTTTCAAAATGTCCCCCACTTCAATTTTATCATTTTTTATCTTGCATTGAAACTTAAAGATTATGTAACTGGTTCTGTTAATTAGATTTAGAGTTTTATATTTGTCATTTAGGACTCTAGTCTTCTAGAGGTTATATTTACATATCCTGTGAGATAATCAGCTAGTCTTGGTTCTGGTTGTCTCTATGTAGACCGACTAACCATTCCTTCTTCATCGATTTGTGAGGCCATCTTTATACTATTCCAAGTTCCCCTCAATACATGGTTTGTTTCTCCACTTACTATTTTTTCCATTGAATAAGCTGTAATTTAAGTAATATGATGTTATTGTAGGTCTTAATATCTCATAAGTTAGGAAAAATCATTACTTCTTTTTTTTCCCCAAAATACCTCCAAGTTGGCTGAGTGCAGTGGCTCACGCCTGTAATCCCGGCACTTTGGGAGGCCGAGGCAGGTGGATCACTTGAGGTCAGGAGTTCCAGACCAGCCTGGCCAGCATGGTGAAACTCCATCTCTACTAAAAATACATAAATTAGCTGGGCATGGGGGTGTACGCCTGTAATCCCAGCTACTCAGGAGGCTGAGGCAGGAGAATTGCTTGAACCTGGGAGGCAGAGATTGCCACTGTATTCCAGCCTGGGTGACAGCGTGAGACGCCATAAAACAAAACAAAACAAAACAAAACAAAACAAAACAAAACACCCTCAAAGTCTTTTGACAGCTTTTTTTCCCAAGTAATTTCAATGTTATAGAAAGTTTGCTTACGGGGAAAGGCCTAGGGCCAACTCAAAACAGGCCCCTTGAATGGAGCTGGAGAGGCTCCAACATGGCTGACTTGATACATCTGGTACTTGGCCCTTCCATGTAAAGTAACCAAAATAACCAGTCAATAATCACACGTTGAATAGATCATCTAAGAGAGAACACCGAAAGTCAGCAGAGAAGTGACCAGGAAGCACCAAAAGCAAAGGAGAAGGAAATGAGACCGCCTGTTCAACCAAGATCGGATATGAGTCTCGAGCGGCTCTCCAATGTGGGAAAAGGGAAAGGGGGAGACTCCCAGCAGCCCACATTTCACCACAGATACCTACAATTCTAGCCACAGGAGATCCCCTCAACCATCGTAGCCCCTGAGACTAACATAGGGAGCTGCCTGGAGACCACGTGAAGGCGCTACCCAAGAAAGAACCTCACACTGGGTCCCACGAACCCTAAGTCCTAACTAACTGCAGCACGGCACCATTTTGACAGCACAGATCCCAACGCACTGCATCTTACTCTGCTTCTGAGACCGAGGCAAGAGCCCTAGGGAGTAATCCCACCTCCCGTTACCCCGACCAGAGGGACAACGACACATTTTTACTTGCCCTGAGGACAAATTTCACTGCCTGCAACTGCTGCCATGATGAACTACTGTGGGGCAGAGGCATGAGCAAAGCCCATGCCTCCCCAGTTTCTTGCCTATGGTTGTTCCCAGGAAAAGCAACCCAGTCCTCCCCAGTCCATGACCACAAAACAGCCACTACCACTCCTATCTGAGCATTCCATCTGTGGCCTGGGGATCCCCCTGCCCCTGCCTACCATAGCCAGTGCCTCATACACCACCAAGGAGCCCATGGGAAGGTCTACTCAGCCTGGCTTCACCCACCCACAGAATCTGAGCACACCGTACAGGGGCCCGAGGGTCACTTAGCCCAGTCCATCACTGGTAGCTCCTCAGCACCCCTCCTGGGATCTGAGGTCAGCCCCACTCAACCTTCCCCTGGCACCACAGCTGACATCCACACTCATGTGCCTCCTGTGGATCTGGGAACTGACCTGCCCAACCTGTCACAGCCATTGCCAATATCAGCATGGACTACACGGGTCCCAGAGGGCTGTCCCACCACTGCTACTGCCATCACCCACACCACATCCACTGCCAAAGGGCTCAAGAATTCAACTTCATACCTGAACTACTGATGCCATTCCCAGAAGCCAAGCAAGCCACTTGGAAGCACAAGAACTGTCTTGCCTAAACCCGCTAACATTGGTGCCAGTGTATGCTGCCCTGGGGCCCAAGGACACACATGCTCATCCCACTGATTCTACCAATGGAAGCCGAAGACTGGCCCAACTGGCATCTCAGTTCTTAGCAAGACTTCAGCACAGCCTCCACTAACAACCATATCCTAAGCCACCAAAGAAATCACAGACACCACTGACACTGTTTACAGATGAAGAAATCATACAGAGACTGCACTATTGTACACACCCAGAATCAAAACCAGAGAACCCTACCCAAACTACACCTTAGATACATCTTCTGGAAAAAGTCCTCCCCATGAGAGCAAATTCAAAAAATTTAAAAAAGTAACTGTTATACTAGATATGCAGATATCAACATAAGGACACAATAATTCTCCAGCAACAGATCCCAATAAAAAAGAAATGTCAACAATCCCAGGCAGAGTATTCAAAATTTTGATACTAAAACAGCTCAGTGAGATACCAGACAGTATTTAAAAATTATACAAAGAAATCAGGAAAACAATTTAGGTTATGAATAAGAACTGTACCAAAGATACAGATATCAGGAAAAAAAACCCCACCTAGTTCTCTATCCCTTTTTTCTATCTTTGATTCCACTCACAAATATGCTTGCTTTTAATCATTCTCTAGGATGTTTAGTTTTTGTTTTATTTATTTTGCATTTTATTCCTCTAAGGAGCTTTCATGGCCATATTGGCAGCATAACTCTCCATTGTATGGGACTTTGAAGGGGAATAGGCCAATTTGTTGAAAACTAAATTGTCTAAGACCCAGTTTCCTAAGAGCTATTTCAGTGAGTCTCATCCTACAACTAATCTGTGTGTTAACATGACTTGTCTTTGACACTTACCCTAAAGTAACAGCGATAGTTGAAATTAAAACTTTGGAGATATTTCTAGTAAATCATAAAATTGATTTTATTGGTTGTTCATGAATTAACATAGGGCTCAGGAAATTTACCATTTCTTTATTCACAGTAAGAAAGAACATTGATCATAATAGTACAAATAATGACTTTAGTTAGATGTTTTTAATTATTTCAATGGGCTCCATACATAAAGTTGTCTCTTCCAAGAATCTATATAAACACTAATCCCTAAAAGTATGTTAACCAAATTTATCTCCACTGTTTAGTCTTCCCTGTTTGATCATAATTTGCTTAAATCTTTCCATTTCAATATCTGTAGACCTCAGTTTATAATTAATCATTTTTAGTTTTCATTATATTGTTCTAAGTGATATTACTTTTCAGATTCATTAGATGTTAGATTTCTCAAGGATAGGAGCTGTGTCTTCTCTTTCTTTTATATTATCATCACTCTTTTTTTCTTATGACTAATGAAGGGCTCTGCCAAAAATTTATTATTATTACTTAAATCAATGTAGTGATCTCATAAGCACATCAAAGAAGGAATAAACTGATACACAGGGGAAGAGAAATATAAAGAGAATAAGTCCTTGGAGAGAAAATCCCAAAGTGTTAATGCTCAAGATGCTACTGGGAAGGTTTACTGAGAAGATTTAGCCTGTTCATTTTCTGTCCATAATAAGACATGAGATTTGCTTAGATTCCATGTAAGTTGTTTTCAATAAGGGTGTTTATAATAGGTTTTGAGCAGTCAGAACTTTCTCTGATAACTTTATTCAAGGACACAATAAATACATCTGATCTATGATATTTGGATAACTCTTTTGACACAAAAATTATATTTATACTAAGATACGTGCAAAGGAATGTGCAGAGCAAATTGGCTTAGACTAAATAGAAAAATGATATTATGATAGTAGAGAAAAACTCTTGATGAAAAGAGGTTGAGATCACTGGAATGAGTGGGTTAGAGTGACGGAGGAACCTCTTTGAATATAGGCTATGAAGATTACAGGATGCAACAGGTGGGCTCATTACATAAAACATTTATGAGGGAAGCTTCAAATTTCCTGATCTATTTACTTATGCTTTTTTTGGACTTTTTTTGGTTTCAGGGCAGCAGACTCTATGATCAAGTATAGATGTATGTTATAGTTAAGTGTCTGAGTGTGTACGACTGTTTAATGGAGATAGTGGTAGTGTGTGTATATTTGTGTTACAAAGAGACGAAATAAAGGGAAAAGGAAGTGAGGGAGAAGTAAAAAAAAATAGGTGAGTAACCTTTTAGTATCTATCACAATCAGTTTTCATAAAAGTAGCAGATTCCAATTCGTGTTAGATAATATATTAGATTGTATTTAATGTTAGATAATTATATAACTTTGCAGTAGTATTATTTTTAGTAGAAGAGGGATGGTGTTAATTATTTAGGAAAAAATAATTTCGAAACTGTTGTATAAAGTATTTACTTATGTAGTTTCACAAGCGTACATCCCAAACCCTTAATTATATGCATCCGTTACAATGTCCTTCAGCTATGTTTATGATTCCTGAAATTAATTCTCTTCTCTCCACTATCAATAATTTCACTTTGAACATTTATTCTGTATCTATACCCACGGAATACAGCTCCTAGGTTTTTGTGTCAATTCACCAATCTTATAATTAAATATTCAATACTACTTACTGATGCTAATTAATCAATAAGAATTATTAATGCCATTGAGAGCAGGTCATGCCAAAAATGAATTGTGGAAAAACCTGTACCTATTGGCTAAAAACCATTACTTTTTCTACAAATATACATGTTTATGTTCTGTGTTGCCATGTCCTTTGATAAAAATGGAGGAATCTTCATTTTCTGATTTGTTAATGTAATTGTTATTGGTGTTGTTTATAAAAGAAATTTTGGTAGAAGAGTGAGGGTAAAATTTTAATTGGTATAGGTGTAGGAGGGAATGGAAAGAGGATTGCAAACAGCTGGTATAGGCAAATGTTTACAGAATTTAATTGTAAAGGGGAACACAGAAATGGAATGGAGGTAGAAAGGTAGTACAGGAGAGGAAAATTTTCATGATTTAAGACAGAGATGAGAAAATAACTGGAGCAGTGTTCTTAGAAGATGAGAGAGAATGGGTTCTTGGACACAGGTGGAAGAGGTGGTCTTCATCAGGAGTATCAATTATGAAACCATTAGAAACAGAGTGAATGCACAGTATATGAACACAGTTACAAAACTGTGGGTAGATACTAGGATGAAACTTGGAGATACTCTCTTCTGACTGCCTTTACTTTTCCAAAATAAAAGAAACAATGTCACTCTCCGAGAGAGAGGATGAGAGAGAAGAGTTAGAGGTATGGCCTGTAAAGAGAAAGGGAAATATGTAATTGATTGGCATCTCTAAGATTTCAGGGGTTTTTTTTATTGCTCATGATCCTTGTGGTCATGCGTTGGTGTCTGTGCATCTGAAGAAATAGGCATATATTCCAGTCTTTACAGACTGTTTCGGCAGGGAACGCCCTTCATGCATCAGCCTATCCAGAGATTCTGGGCAGGTCATATGGCGTGGTCTGGAAGTAGGTTTGTTCCTGGAGTCCTGGGCAGGATGGCTTAGTGCTTGGGTCATCAGGTGGGTGGGCCTGGTGGCTGAGTCAATGGCATTCCCAAGATTTCAATGCAGTTGAGTATTAATGAATTTAGATCTAGGCAAGTGAGCACAGGTGCATTTTCCTCCAATCGTGTTCAGCTGCAAAGGTTTAGATGTGGAGTAAGTAGAGAGTGGTTTGACTTTTTCCAGGTAAAGACATGAAGCACAAATTGGTCAAGGGATGTAAGGATATATGCTACTATAAAGTGACTATAAATATGCATATGGAACTTAAGATGAGTAAGGAGGAGTGTGAGTACATGAGAGTAGTAAAGAACATGAAATAGAATAACTATAATTTAGGGGATAAAGATTATAGGATTTGTGGTATTGGAGAGAGTAAATTATGAATTTACCTGGTGGTAGTTGGAGTCTAGGATGCTTATTACTGAGATCATGAAGGGTTGAAGTTATTAATGACTAGTGAGTAATGAGTAATAAATCTAGAGTTTAATGATAGGAGAAAGTAGCTGAAGAAGGATAATAATGATTATCAGACAAATGGAAGTACAGAAACCTATAGAAGGGTATCGTAATAGGGTCTAACTTAATTTGAGATAGGCTGAAACCCAAAGGATAAATAGATATTTTCTTACATTAAAGGACGGGAGGCCAGGCACAGTGGCTTACGCCTGTAATCCCGGCACTTTGGGAGGCCGAGGAGGGCAGATCACAAGGTCAGGAGATCAAGACCATCCTGGCTAACATGGTGAAACCCCGTCTCTACTAAAAACACAAAAAATTAGCCGGGCGTGGTGGTGGGCGCCTGTAGTCCCAGCTACTCAGGAGGCTGAGGCAGGAGAATGGCGTGAACCGGGAAGGCGGAGCTTGCAGTGAGCCAAGATCGCACCACTGCACTCCAGCCTGGGCGATAGAGCGAGACTCTGTCTCAAAAAAAAAAAAAAAAAAAGGGACAGGGGAAGTAAAGAGTGATCCAGGGAGGACAAGCATGAATGAAGTCCCTGTCAAGGGACACCTTGATATATTTGAGGAATTGGAAGATATCCAGTAGGATCACATCCAAGTAATATAAAAGGTGAGACTGAAGAGATAAGCCACAGACATTCATGGAGGGTTTGTAAGCTTGTCCAGTTGGAAGGTACTGAAATGTTTCACATAGAAATTTATACTGTAACGCAGGCCTTTAAACAATCATTCTGGTTACACTATGAAGATGGCTTGAGAGTAGGGGAAGAAAAGAACTGTAGGGCTGCTTTGAAGTAGTTAAGTTTAAAGGCAATCATGACTTGGGCCAGGATTGCGGCAGTGTGGATAAAGAGACGTGAATTTGAGGGATGTTTCAGAGACTTGATGACTGACTTAAAGAGAGTGGATTGAAGCGAAGGAGAAATCAATGTGGTTCTCACATTTCTGGTTTGAACAACTAGATGGTTTTTATTCTGTTCACTACGTTGAAACACTGTGAGAGCATGCTTGGAAAGAGGATGCGTTCTGTTTGACGTGTTGATTTTTGTAATTCAGTAAAGAATTCAACCATCCCTCCATTAAAGGACATTTGGGCTACTTCCAGTTTTGGGTTGTTATGAATAAAGATTCTATGAATATATGAATACAAGCTTTTGTGTGAATTCAAGTGGAGAGTCAAATATGAAATTAGGTAAGTCTAGAACTCAGAGTGGGGGTTAGACAAGAGATCTCCCTCTTAGAAGCTATATAGCCAGAATAAATTTTATACTTGGAAGACATGTAGTTATGATATCAAAGTCACTAGTTCAAAGTCACTTAAAGATATTACTATTTGTCTTTCTTTCAATATTATGTTCATTTTTTCTTGGAATTTATTTCATATTTACTAATTATTATATTAGAATAACAGTCATTTGTAAGAGTACATGGATAGCCAGAATAAGTGACCAATTTTATTCTATAGATTATTTTTCTACACCATTGTTCTGTTTTTCTACATGGTATAGGAACTGTAAGAATATGAAGAATAAGATACTTTCAGTTTTTTTCACCTCTAATAATCTGATATTCCAATGAGTAGACAGACATGCAAAATTCTACCTATAAGAATAAATGGTGGCCAGGCATGGTGGCTTACACCTGTGATCCTAACACTTTGGGAGGCCGAGGTGGGCAGATCACTTGAGATCAGGCACTAGAAACCAGGCTGGCCAACGTGGTAAAACCTTGTCTCTACTAAAATACAAAAATTAGCACAGTGTGGTGATGCGTACCTGTAATCCCAGCTATCTGGGAGGTTGAAGCCTGAGAATTGCTTGAACCCAGGAGACAGAGGTTGCAGTGAGCCAAGATTGCACGACTGTACTCCAGCCTAGGTGACAGAGCAAGACAGTCTTGAGAAAAAAAAAAAAAGAATAAATGGAATAGTGCCTTTGATTTGATAAAACAGAGAAGTGCGTATGACAAGTATAATCTGTAAAACAGATGCCGAAGTAACGACTTTCTAGTCCAAAGTAAGTCACAGTCTCCACTTTGCCATCTATAAAACAGACTGTACTTGTCATATACACTGCCATTTATACATAATATTACTGGGCCTAAATATTTTAGATGCTCAGTTCACTGCTCTTTTTCACAACTATATATTTGTGCATAGTATTGCCATGCTTATTTTTAAAGAAAATAATTTCGTTTTTTGAGTACATAATATATGAACATGGTACAAAATTCAAAATATACTAAAAAGAGTATTTCTTCTGCCTTTGTTTCCTTGACAGCCAGTTTCTCTTCCTAGAGACTACAACAGTTATCAGTTTCTTTTATGTCCATTCAGAAGTACATGTGCGTATAGAAAAAAATGTTAAACAGAAGTTTTAGCATACTACTCACATTGTGCTGCATCTTGATTATATCATTTAACAAGTCACCTTGGCATTCATAACATATATAATTTATATGTATATAGGTACATATGTAAAAATTTGCATATATATGATTTGTGCACCTTTCCGTATCTATCCACCTGGCTATTTTCTTTGTGTGTGTATATATATGTACATATATATATTTTAAAGCTGCATATTATTCTCTCTCATAGGTGTAATAATTCACCTCGTCCCCTACTTTGGCTCTTAGGGTTCTGTCTAATTTTTGCTTTTAAAATACTCAAATAAATATTATGGTATATAATAATGATTTCCACACATTGAATAATATCTACAGGTAAATTATAACACAAAGTATGTGATTCACAATTTTCAACTTTGAGAGCTATTGAAAAAATTACCCAGCATATAACTAGTACAAATTATCATCAGAAATTCCTATTTAGCCATTCTCAAACACATATAATTTATTAAGTATTTTGATCTTTGTACAAATATGATTTGCCATTTAATTAAAATCTTATGTATGATTACAATATGCAGTTGTAAGAAAAAATACACAAAGATGCTGTTTTCCCTTTACATGGTTCCTCCCCATGGTAACAAATTGCAGCACAGTTTCACAATCAGGATATTGATGCTGATACAACCCATGAATCTTAATGATAGCCCCAGTTTTATTTGTATTCATTTGTTTTGTGTATCTGAGTTTAATTCTACACAGTTTTATCTCATGTTCCTGTATCTGCCATCATAGTCAAAATACAGAATAGTTCCTCCACCACAAGGATCTTTCTTGGTATCCTTTCATAACCACACACACCTCTCTTCTGCTCCTTCTCCAACTTCATTCTCCAACTGTAACTACCAATCTTTTCCCCATTTCTAAAATATTATTTCAAAAATGTTATATAAATGGAATCATACAGTATATAATTTTTTGGATTTCACTTTTTAAAAAATTAAGCGTAATTTCCTGGAGAGTTTACCAAATTGTTGTTTTCTTTTTATTGCTAAGTAGCATTCCATGGTATGGATATACCACAGTTTGTGTAAGCATTTCTCCATTGCAGGACATTTGGGGTATTTCCAGTTTTTGGCTATTACAAATAGTCTATGAACATTCACATACAAGTTTTTGTGTGAACATGTTTTTATTGTACTGACATAAATTCCAAAGCGTGCAATTGTTGGGTCATATAGTAAGTGTATGTTTAATTTTGTAAGAAACGACTATACTCTCTCCAGCGCAGTTGTACCATTTTATATCCTGACCAGTTTTATATTCATGATCCAGTCTTTCTGTATCCTCCCTAGCATTTGGTGTTGTCACTATTTTTATTTTATCTATTTTGATAGATGTGTTGTAGCATTTTACTGGTTTTAATTTGCATTGTGCTGATGAAAATGATTTTGAACACCTTTTCCTGTGTTAATTTGCCATTTATATATCATTTTCTGTTTATGTTTGTATGTCTTTTCCTAGTTTTTGCCCATGTTTTTGGACTTTTAAGAATACTATTAAGTTTTGAGAGTTCTCTCAGATATGTGATTTGAAACAGTATTTCTTTTTTTCAGTCTTCAGCTTGTCTTTCCATTTTCTTAATAGAGTCTTTTGGCAGAGCTTTTTTTTTTTTCTGGTTAGGTCAAACTAAAATTTTTCCTTTAATGTGTCATGCTTTTGGTGGAAAATCTAAGGACTCCTTGCCTAGCTCTAGACCCTGAATACTGTTTTCTATTTTTTCTAGAAGATATGTAGCTTTACATTTTACATATAAGTCCATGATCTATTTTGTGTTAATTTTTGTATATGAGGTGAAATTTGAATTTAGTTTGTTTTTTCTTTTCTATTATGGATGTCCAATTATTTCAGAACTAGTTGTTGAAAAGACAGTCTTGCTTCCATTGAGTTACTCTGCACATTCATAAAAAATCAGTTGGACATATTTGTGTGGGCTGATTTATGGGTTCTCTATTCTGTTCCATTGATCTGTTTCACTATCACTTGTGTTAATACCATACAAAACCTGATAACTATAGTTAAATAATAAGCTTTAACATTGAGTAATTTGATTTTTCCACTTTTATTCTTCTTTTTCCAAATTGTGTTAGCTATTCAATTTCCTTTGCCTTTACATACACATTTTAGAATAATCCTATCTATGTCTACTAAGAAATATTTCTGGGATTTTGATAAGAATTGTGTTAAACCTGTATATCAATTTGGAGAGGATTGACATCTTTACTATGTTAAATCTTACAATCCATGAATATAATATGTCTCTAACTTTATGTAAATCTTTTGTTATTTCTTTCATCTGTGCTTGAAGTTTTTAGCATACAACTCCTAAACATTTTTTTTAGATTTACAGCCAGATATTTCCATATTTTGAGAGATTATAAATTAAATTGTGTTTTAATTTTGGTTTTCACATATTCATAGTTTATTAAAAATATTTAATTTTTTGTGTTAATCTTGTATCCTGTCACTTTGCTGAACTCATGTATTAGCTATAGGAATTTTTATGTGGAATCCAGGGAGTTTTCTACATAGATAATGACATCTGAAAATAAGTACATTTGTATTTATTACTTTTCAATATATGTGTCATTTATTTCTTTTTCTTGCCTACTACAAGTGGTGAGAGCAGACATCCACGCTTTATTCCTAATCTTAGAAGGAAAGCATTTACCTGGAAGATTTTTATGGATGATCTTTATTGAGTTGACACAATTTCTCTCTATTCCTAGCTTGCTGAGAGTTTTTATCATAAATGGGTGTTGGATTTTATCAAATTTGTTTTTTGCCTCAATTAATACGATCATATAATTTTTCTTCTCTATTCTATTTATATGATAGATTACATTTACTGATTTTCAAATGTCTATGTAGTCTTGTACACCTGAAATAAATCCACTTGGCCTATGTAAATTCTTTCTACATATTGCATTCTATTTTCTAATAATTGATTGAGGATATTTTGTCTATATTCATGAGAGATATTGGAATGTATTTTTTTTGTTTCGTACTGTCCTTGGAGTTGAACTGCATATTACTCTATATATTTATGTTTGTGTGTTTATATATACACATGCTATATAGTATAATAGTATATGTAATGTTAATCAAATTATGATGTTTCTTGGCTTGGATTTCTTTAGATTAATCCTGCAAGGGGTTTATTCAGCTTCTTCAACCTGTATATGCTTATGTTTTCAACAGATTTGGGAAGTTTTAAACTATTATTTATTTAAATACCCTTTGGCATTATTTTCTTTCTCCTCTTCTTCTGGAGCTCTGATGATATGAAAGTTGAATCTCTTGTTATTGTCCCATAGGTCCCCGAGGTTCTTTGCATTGTTTCTCAGTCTGTTTTCTCCCATTGTTCAGATAGGCTACATTTTGTTGATCTGTCCTCATGCTCATTGATTTCATCCTTGGTCATCTCCACTTAACTAATGAGCCCATTCAGTGAGATTTTATTTCTGTTACTGAACTTTCCAGTTCTATAATTTATAACAGGTAGAGTTTTAAAATATTGTATCTTGGACATTTTGGCTATTACAGAACTATAAACTGGAATTTAGGTCCTGTTTAAATCTTTAATTTTAGCAGATAGTCACTCTGTTTAGACCTAGCACACAGGTCCTGACCTAATTTTGTAGGCTGTGCATCCAATGGCAATTTTTTAAGAGACTTTTAGCTGTTATTTTTGTGTTCTAGTTTTATTTGGTACTACTGGGGTTTCCATTGTTCTCTGCTGGTACTGCCTGAGAAGGCAGAAGAAGGGATTTCCTTAGGCTAGGCCTTCTGGTGTCCTTGTGCGGTGGAGAGAATATCAAGACTATGAGGACAAAGAGGCTTCCCTGTCGGGGTGCTTGTGGCGGGATTGCCTGCTTGTGCCGGACAGAGACTGCTACTTGCTGGATGATTGTCAAATTGGAATATTTCTTGCTGGTGCCCTCTTTCCCCCTTTCTCACTCTGGTGTCTGTGGGTGGCAGAAGGAAGTCTCAGGCCTGCAGGGCCAGAGGGCCAGGATGCTTGTTATGGTGGGGTCCTTCTCCAGATGCCACCTGACTGCCCTGTTGTCTCTCTTTAGGGGAAGAGAATGCCAGACAGCAGGGAGAGAGGAGCTGAGTAGAGTACTTCTCTGGGTTAGTAGAATTCCTGATGGGCCCCCCTTACTCAAGTGCTGTGTTGTTGGAGGAACTACCTTTTGATAGGAGGCAGGAAAAAACCTACCTAGGCTGCCTTTTGTTGTGGGATGGCGTGTTGGAAGAGGCAAACATTTTTTGTCAAATAAACTAATTGCCTTCTTTAGTTGGGTGAAGGGACAGCCCTGCTGCTGTGTGGTTCCTACAGTTCTGGAATCCCAAAGCAGTTCACCTTCCCACATTTGAGAATTCTTTTTTGGTTACCTCTTGTATTGTTTCTACGGTTTGTAGTTGTACTTAATGGGAAGGGAGATGGGAGAAACCTGTATATACCATCTTATCCGGAAGTCAAAATCACTGTTTTTAAGTTATTTTATTTCGAAAAATCTCAAACTTGCTGGGTGCTTAGACCTGAGCTGGGCAGCGGCAGAACATGCCTTGAGCAGATGGGCATGTGCTTGTGACTAAGTGGGGTGGGAGTCGAGGTGCAGCGCGTTGGTGCTCTTTACAGTGCTCACGGCAGCCTGCTGTAGCGCTTGCCTGCATGTCATATTTCAATTTGCATTTTTCTTATTTTTAATGAGGTTGAGCATCTTTTCCTATCTTTAAGATCTATTCATATTTCCTTTTCTATAAATTGTCTGTATGTTTCTCTCTTTAAAAAAAATTGGTCTGTGTCTTTTAGGTTTATTAAATAATTTATATATTAAGAATGTTAGCACATGGTCTACAATTTGCTTTGTGATTTTATTCCTGGATGCGTTTTGATCTTTTATTTGTAGGATTTTTGTCATGCAGACATTTTCGATGCCTATGTAGTCAAATTTGGTAATCTTTTATTGCTTCAGGTTTTTCTATGATATTTAGAAAATCATTTCCAAATCCAAGATTATTGTTTCCTCCCTTATTCTCTTTTTTTCTGTAAAAGTTTATATGACATATAAAGTACAACACACATACAGAAAAGTGGATAAATCCTGAGTCTCAATAAATTTTCACAAAATGACATATCTGTATAACCAACACACCCACATGAAGAAACAGCTTCATCCATATTACTTAATATAGCTGTAGTTCATTTTGACTCCTTCACAATGTTTCATTTTGTTGATGGACATTTATATAGTTGTCAGTTTTTGATAAAAAATATTGCTGCTATGAACATTTTTATATATTTTGGTATGTGCACCTTCTATTGGCTATATACCTAGGAATGGAATTTCTGGCTTATTCATATATGCGTATGTTTAGCTTGAGGATACTGCCAGATTGTTTTCCAAAATCACTATGCTGATTAAACTCCCTGGAGGAGTATATGAGTGCTCAGGGTGCTCTACATCCTTGTTGACACTTGGTGTTTTCCATCACTTTTTTATTTTAACTGTTCTAGTTATTGTGCAGTGGCACTGCATTGTGGTTTTGTTGCTGGGGGCTCAGGAAGGTCTCCAGATGCAGGTGAGAACCCAGCCCCAGGGGGTTTTCAGGTTCCCCATTCCTTTGCATTTCTATGTAACTTTTAAAATCAGCTTGACAATTTTATATTTTAAAAATCAGGGACTTGTACTGGGATTGCGTTGACTTTTCAGATTACTTTTAGGAGAGTAGACATCTTCATTATAGTATATCTTTCAGCCCATGAATATACCATATTCCTCTATTTATTTAGATATTCTTTATTTCCTCAGAATAATGTTTTGTAGTTTTTAGGATAGAGATCTTACATATTTTTGTTTAGTTTTATTTCTATACATTTATTGTTTCTGATGCTATTGAAAATATCATTGGACATTTTATTTTCATTTGATTGTGGTTAGCATATAAAATATATTTAATTCTTGTTTAATGTCCTCATATCTCAGAAATCTTCTAACCATACAGGCATATCATCTATGAAAATGAGTTTTATTTTTTCCTTTCTAATTCTAAAGTATTTTATTTATTTTTTTCTTGCTTTATGACACTGGCTAGAACCTCTAGGACAATGTTCAAAAAAGTGATGATAGGAGAAATCCTTGTCTCATTCCTGATCTGAAACTTTTCATGTTTCTTCATTAGGTATGATCTTTTCTTATGGTATTTTTTATTAATTTTATCAAATAAACTAATTTCCCTTGTATCCCTAGTTTGCTAAGGATTATTTTATTAAATCATGAGTGGGTGCTAAATATAATCAAATGCTTTTACTGCATCTGTGGTGTTTCTTGTTTTCTTTCTCTAATATGGCTATTGTATTAATTTATTTTTTAATGTTAAATTACCCTTACATCTTGAAATAAATTTTATTTGGTTGCGATGTAGATATTGCTTGTTTTTATTCATTTTTTCAAGATTTTTGCATCTATAGTCACAAGACAGGTTAGTCTGCAGTTCCTTTCTGTTAAGTTTTTTTGTTTTTTTTTTTTTTTTGAGATGGAGTCTCGCTCTATCGCCCAGGCTGGAGTGCAGTGGCGCGACCTCAGCTCACTGCAAGCTCCTCCTCCCGGGTTCAAGCCATTCTCCTGCCTCAGCCTCCCGGGTAGCTGGGACTACAGGCTCCTGCCACCACACCAGGCTAATTTTTTGTATTTTTAGTAGAGACGGTGTTTCACCATGTTAGCCAGGATGGTCTAGATCTCCTGACCTCGTGATCCGCCCTCCTCGGCCTCCCAAAGTGCTGGGATTACAGCCGTGAGCCACCGCGCCTGGCCTCTGTTGAGTTCTTTTTAAAGTGTTGGTATCAAAGTTGTGCTAACCTTATAAAAGAAATATAGAAGTGCTCCTTTTTCATTGTTTTGAAAGTATTTGTGTAAGTTATTATTTCTTCCTTAATTATTTGGTAGAATTCACCAGTAAAATCTGGACTTGGTGTTTCCTTTCTGGAAAAATTTTGAATAAGAACTACACTTTCCTATATAAATATCAAACTATTGAAATTGTCTTTCTTCTACTGTCAATTTTGGTAAGTTACTTTTGGTTTAAGTAATTTTAAAATTTTATTTAAATTGCCAAATTCTTGGGCATGAAGTCGTTCATAACGACCTTTTACAATGTTTGACGTTGATAGTATCTGTAGTGATACTAGCTTAAAATTTGTATTCTCTCTCTCTTTTAACAATTTTACTGAGTTGATAACTTTCATTAATCTTTTCAAATGACTAAATTTTGACTTTGTTGACTTTTCTTTATTGAACTTTTGTTTTCTATTTCAATTATTCTTGTTATTATTTTAGCTATTTCCCTTCTACTTTGTTTAGGTTTGAGTTGTTGGATTATTTGTTCATTCATTCATGCATTCATTCATTTAGCTGTTTGAAATGAAAGTTTAGGTTATTGGTTTTTCAATATTTCTTTTTTTCTAACATATGCATTTAAGGCTGACAATTTCCCTCTATTTATTTCTTTAGCTATATGCCAAAAGTTTTGATATATCTCATCTTCATCATTGTTCATTTCAATTTTTTTCTAATTTTATTTGAATTTTTTCTTTATGAATTATTTGTGTGTATTACATAATATGAAGCAATTGGTGAGTTTCTAGATGCATTTTTCTTATTGTTTTTTAATTCCAGTGTGGTCAAGGGACATTCTTTGAATAGCTCAACCTTTTGAAACCTTTTGAAGCCTTTTGGTAATACTCAACTCATGCTTGATTTTGTAAATATGTACAAGATATACTTGAAAATAATGTGAATTATTTTTTGGTTGGGTTCAGTGTTCTTTATATGTTAATCAAATTTGTAAATTATGTTGTTCAGATGTTTATATCCTTACTGACTTTTTGGCTGATTCTTCTGTCAGGTATAGAGAGAAACTTGTTAAATCTTCTCATTGTGATTGTGGTTTTAACTATGTCTTTATTTCTGTCTATTTTTAGAGTTATTTTATGGAGAACTTACACTGGAGAACTTATGATATTGTGGACCAATTATTAGCAGAAGAATCTTAGTAGGCATGGGTGGGAGGAGTATCCTAGTTAGCCTTTCCAATTCCTCAGTGCAAGGGCTCCCTCTTCTGTTGATAAGGTGGTGATTATTATTATTGTTATTATTATTATTATTATTAATTACTTACAAATGACAAGCTTCCTTTGTTCTTCATATATTTACTATACCTCTTCTCTCCATCACCTTCAGTGCTTAGACTGTGCCTTTTTCTATCCCCTGCCCCACAGAAATTCTCACTCCCTGGGAGGTACTCCCCTTTTGGATTGAAAAATTGGGGGTGTTTTCGAAGTTCTTCTACTAATGGGACCTCTAACTATTTCAAGTTTTTCCCAACTACATCCACTGCCTCATTGCTATGACACAGTCTTGTGACTAATGATGCTAATTTTGCTGTTTTTTTCTCCTCTACTCATACAACATTTGGTTTGTGGGTGTTTATGTTTCTTACTTTCACTGAAAGTTTGGGTTGTCAGAAGACATGTGTTACTCTCTTGTGGCTTTTATGTATCTTAGAAGAAGTGATGAAATCCCCACTGAGCTACATCTGAATTTTTGCCAGAACCTAGAATCATAAGTTGAAAAACTATTCCCTGTTTGTATGTTTAAAATTTTTGTAATACATAATTCTAATGCCATACATGAGGTTATGATTATGTCCATCAAATCTTGCACTTCCTAGTTTTGAAAACAAATGCCCTTTATCTATATCTGATTTGTTCATAATATAATGCTTTTATTAGTCTAGTGCCATTTTAACAGCTCAGAATTTATCAGGTATATTAGTCTTCCTCAATTTTGTTGTACATAAATTTAGTTTTACTGTTCGTAACTATTCTTCACACTGTTGCTCACCCCTAGGTTCCTCCAAATAGTAAACTTGCTTTATTTAATCCTCACAGTGTAAAATTAAAAATTCAGAAAAATTAATTCTGTTATTGTTAAATTTGCTTCCCAGAGCAATGGAGAATGTCACTACAATGAATGAGTTTCTTCTACTTGGCCTGACTGGTGTTCAGGAGCTGCAGCCTTTCTTCTTTGGGATTTTCTTAATCATTTACCTGATAAACTTGATTGGAAATGGATCTATATTGGTGATGGTTGTTTTGGAACCACAACTCCACTCCCCTATGTATTTTTTTCTGGGAAACCTTTCTTGTCTGGATATTTCTTATTCTTCAGTGACACTGCCCAAGCTGCTCGTAAACCTCGTGTGCAGTCGCAGGGCTATATCTTTTCTAGGCTGTATCACCCAGCTACACTTCTTCCACTTTTTGGGAAGCACAGAGGCCATTTTACTGGCTATCATGGCCTTTGACCGTTTTGTTGCCATCTGCAATCCTCTTCGCTACACTGTCATCATGAACCCCCAGGTGTGTATTCTGTTGGCAGCTGCGGCCTGGCTCATCAGCTTCTTTTACGCTCTGATGCATTCTGTCATGACTGCACACCTGAGTTTTTGTGGCTCTCAGAAACTCAATCACTTCTTCTACGATGTCAAGCCGCTCTTAGAATTGGCCTGTAGTGACACATTACTCAATCAATGGCTTCTTTCCATTGTCACAGGCAGCATATCCATGGGAGCTTTCTTTCTGACTCTTCTCTCCTGCTTCTATGTAATTGGCTTCCTTCTGTTTAAGAACAGGTCCTGCAGAATACTCCACAAGGCTCTGTCCACTTGTGCCTCCCATTTTATGGTGGTATGTCTTTTCTATGGACCTGTGGGCTTCACATATATTCGTCCTGCTTCAGCCACCTCCATGATTCAGGACCGGATAATGGCCATCATGTATAGCGCCGTCACCCCTGTACTGAATCCACTAATCTACACCCTTAGGAACAAAGAAGTGATGATGGCTCTGAAGAAAATCTTTGGTAGGAAGTTGTTTAAAGACTGGCAGCAACACCACTAGGACTAATGAGGGATATCTGATTTCTATTAAGACTGATTTCCATCACTTCACTGTAAGAAATGATTTGTTTACCTGGTTTATATTTTTCTTTCAAAAATTTTGAGCACATATTATATTAGGCAGTGTAGTAGGTTCAAGAAACACAGGAGCAAGCAAAACAAATTCCATAATGTCATCAAACATAAAGTTTAATGTGATGGAGGCCCCAAATAACCAAACGCGTAAGTACATATGTCAGGATAATTCGGTGGCAAGGAGAACTAAGGAGGTAGGAAGTATGGGGAGGGTTAGAGTAGGAATCTGCTGTGTAAAAAAGAATGTGGCATTTCTCCTAGGACAAAAACCTTTGGAATTTTCCAAGTAATAGAAGTATCTTACTGAAATTCCATATGAGATAATCTTTATTTTTGCCTATTTTTTTTCCTTTTGTGTTTCCTTCAGCAGGAAAGTACTGATGATAATTTTTCTCACAACAGTTTTTATCTAGAATATCATTTTTGTTAATCTTAATTCTTGAAGAGAATTTTTAATGGGTATTTAATTTTAGGGAGAGATTTTTCTAGCCATTGAAAATATCTTGTTTTTCCCCAGCTTATTGAAGTATAATTAACAAATAAAAATTGCATATATTTAGGCTTCACAACATGATGCTTTAGTATATGTATACATTGTGAAGAGACTACCACAATCAAGCTAAACCTACATTACTGTCCCTGCATTAGTTTACTGTTGAATACTAGAAGTTCTTCATTCTATCTAACTGCATTTTCATACCCATTAAGCCAATGTGACAAGCTCTTTGTTTCAGTTGGAGTGTTTGCACAATTTAAATTTGATAAATTTTTGATAGAATTAAATTTAAATTTATCCTCCAACTAAATTTTTGATAGAATTAAATTTAAATTTGTCCTCCAACTGTTTGCCTTTCATTTGTCCTATTTGTCCGTTATTGCTTCTTCTTTCATTTACTGTTTTTTATGGGAATATTTTTATGATTTCATTATATTTTCACTATTGTCCTTTTATTTATACCTTTTTATTTTATATTTTTGTGGTTACTCTGGGGTTTACAATGTACATTTTAAATTCACAAAATATTTCTTCACATAATATTACACCATTTAAGATGTATTGCTAGAGTCATGCCATACTGTACTTCCATCTCCCTGCTCATGCTTTGTGATTTTAATGTCACACATTTTACTTTTACTTATGTTATTAGTATCCAAGATACTGCAATTCTGTTTTTTTTGAAAAATTCTATTATTTTTAAGGTAATTAAAAATAATAAAAATGTCTTTTACACTTAAACACATATTTATAATTTCTGGCACTTTTGGTCCCTTCATGGAGACACTGATTTTCATCTCGTATCATTTTTTTGTTGTTGTTGTCTAAAGACTTTCCTTAACTATTTCTTGTAGTAAAGTTCTGCTGGTAATAATTTACTTCAGCTTTTGTTGGCATGAAAAAGTACTTTGCCCTTATTTTTAAGAGATGTTTTCTCTGTATATAAAATTTTAAATTGCCAGACTTTTGTTTATGTGCTTTAAAGCTGTTGCTCCATTACCTGTCTCACATAATTTCTGGTGGGATGCATGCTGCCATTCTTATCTTTATTCCTTTGTAATAACTGTGTTGATTTTTCTCTTGCTGATTTTAAGATTTTTCTTTATGACTTTTTTAGCAAATAGATTATGATGTTCATTGTAAAGTTTTCTAATATTTATTCTATTTAATTTTTATTGAGCTTCTTGGATCTATAGATTATATATTTTATCAAATTTGGAAAAACTCAGTCATTACTTCTTCAATGTTTTTAATCAAACACTTCTTTAGTACTCCACTTGCACATATGTTAGACTGCTTGAAATTATGACATAGGTCATTGATACTTTGTCCATTTTATTAAAAAGATTTCTCTGTGCTTCATTTTGGATTGTTTTTATATCTATATCTCCAAGTTCCTTGATTTTTTCTTCTGCAGTAATTAATCTACTGTTTATTCCATGCACTGCATTTTTCACTTTATATTTTGTATTTTTTATTTAAACAAGTTCTATGTGGGTCTTTAAAAAAATCTCTCTCTTTTTATGTCTGTATTTCCCCTAAATTATTATGCTTATTTTGAGGCATACTTTTTTTTTTGTTAAGGTAGATCCAGAACATTGTTTATTCTGAGATTAATTTAGCCCCCACTACTAAGGTAATATCCTTCTCAGGACTCCACCTAAGTCCTTGTCTATTACAAGCTGTTCCAATCAGGCTGATGGGTCATGGGACATACCCAACCCTGTCTTGTACAGTGTATTAAAATCATTGCTTTATATATTTTATTCCATTTTTTAGATGTTTAATCAGGAGAGAAAATCTCGTTACTTTATTATGGCAAGTAATGAAACACAAAAATCATTATTTTTGAGGTTGCGGAATGTAGATCTTCCTATCTGTTGTGGGTACACACGACTACTTTCTAGTATCAATAACATTAGTGTGATATAATCTAAATCACAGGCACTAATGTAGTCACTCCTGATCGAGGTACAACATATGTAGCTGGCAATACTGTTCAGGGTTGATGCTTATATTTTTTTTTTCTTAAATTGAGACAGAGTCGCCCTATGTTTCCCAGGCTGGTCTTGAACTCCTGGGCTCAAGGGATCTTCCTGCCTCTGCCTCCCAAAGTGATAGGATTACAGGTGTGAGCCAGCACTCCAGGCCTTATCTTAAATTCACACTTTGTTAACTTTTTTTCTCCTTTTTTTGTAGAAACAAACAGAGCAAATATTTCAGTGTATGATGTCCCTGTTTTCCTACTCTGTTCTATGAGTATATCTCTATAAAAGAGTTGATTCTACTATTATTTTGCTCTTAATAATATTTTCCTATTTTCACCTCATTTTTATTATTCTGAATAGATCATCTTTAAAAAGGAAGTGAAATTTTTTTTCCTTTTTGTCTCTACCCTATCTATTTCTTTTTTGTTATGGCCATTTATAGTCACGTACACTCATTTAATCTCAATTTATTCACTGGAAAAAAACAGCTGATTTAATGTTAGAGAGCACACATTATTGGTAAATCCCTTATTATACATCATAAAAAGCAAAGACACCCCAAACTCCTAGATTTATAAGAAGAAAACAAGCTACGGGGAAATGATTCCCTATTTAATAAATGGTGCGGGGATAACTTCCTTGTCATATACAGAAGATTGAAGCTGGATACCTACCTTTTACCCTATACAAAAGTTAACTCAAAATTGATTAAAGATTTAAATGTAAGACCTCAAATTATAGAAATCATGGAAGATAACCTAGGAAATACTCTTCTCAACATCGGCCTTGGCAAAAGATTTTTGGCTAAGTCACCAAAAGCAATGGCAACAAAAACAAAAATAGACAAGTGAGACCTGATTAAACTAAAGAGCTTCTGCACAGCAAAAGAAACTATCAACAGAGCAAACACACTATCTACAGAAAGGGAGAAGATATTCACAAACAATGCATCTGACAAAGGCCTAATATCCAGAATCTATAGGGAACTTAAACAAGTCAACAAGCAGAAAGCCAATAATCCCATTAATAAATGGGCAAAGGACATGAAAAAACACTCTCAAAAGAAGACATACATGTGGCTAACAAACATACGAAAAAATTATCAGCATCACTAATTATCAGGGAAATGCAAATCAAAACTGCAGTGAGATATTATCTCACACCAGTCAGAATGACTATTTAAAAAGTCAAAAAACAACAGATGCTATCAAAGCTGCAGAGAAAAGGGAATGCTTATATGCTGTTGGTGGGAATGTGGATTAGTCCAGCAACTGTGAAAAGCAGTCTGGAGATTTCTCAAATAATTTAAAACAGAACTACTATTCAATACAGCAATCTCATTAATGGGTATATATCAAAATAAAATAAATCATTCTACCAATAGGATACATACACTCACATGTTCATTGTTGCGCTGCTCACAATAGCAAAGATGTGGAATGACAGACTGGATAAAGAAAATGTGTTACATATGCACCATGGAATACTATGCAGCCATAAAAACAGAATAAAATAATGTCCTTTGCAGCAACATGGATGGAGCTGGAGGGCATAATTCTAAGCAAGTTAACACAGGAACAGAAAACCAAATACTGCATGTTGTAACTTATAAGTGGGAGTTAAGCATTGAGCACACATGAACATAGGTATGGGAACAATAGACACTGTGGACTACCAGAGGCTTCAGGGATGGGGGAGGATGGGTTAAAAAACTGCCTATCAAGCCAGGTACTAGGCTCATTACCAGGGTGGTGAGATCCATACTCCAAATTTGAACATCATGCAATATTCCCATGTAACAAATCTGCACATATATCCACTATGTCTAAAATAGAAGTTGAATTTTTTTAAAAAAGTAAAAACTAAAAATAAATATAAAATAAAAAAATTTAAAAAGACTTATTGGTAATGAATGTTAGATACAATAAATGAATAATGCAAAATTTATTATCGTCTGTTTTTGGAGTGAAATAACCACTCATAGATATCTTCAGATGATAACTCTCTTGCTGTGTGTACCCAAGTCAGCCGGTAAGAATTTAGCAAGTGATGAAATTGGATAATGCCTAGTAGGTAATTAATTTGTTGAGAATTGAGATTTGATTTTAAGCCATAGGTGATGATTAAGAACCATATGAATCTGGGAGAAATAACTCTTCTTTAATCCAAATTCTTAATTTTAAAGGGCAGGCAATATAATCATTAGAGGTCAAAGGATTCAGAAATTCTGTTTTTATGTGATAGTGGCATACTTAGCTGCCTCAATTCTTAAATAATTATAGGATCAAAATTAATCAAGCAATTATACTTTTAATTTACAAGTCATGCTCAAAATTAATATTTAATCTATCACAAAATATATGGATACTGTATATTCGTTAGTGAGTTTTTGATACATCTTCAAGAACACATAACATGCAAAGGAATAGATATTTGGAGGACTAATCAGTCTTCGGTGGCTGAAGAATATTTCTTCAGTGCGAAGTAGTGTGCAATGTAAGCTTCCCCCACCTCCAGGAGGAAATGAGGATGCTTTCTCCTAATTTAAGCTGAGAGAAAAACCAGTTAGAGAGCTTGATTTCTACATCTGGAATTTTGGAGTCCAAAGACTGATATTTCTTACATGGCCAAGAAGCAAAATCTAGAGAACTGCATTTCCTGTGTTAATAGGGGAAGCATGTGGGTTGTTTCTCACTAGACAGATGTGGGCCAGGAGGTAGTGGTCCACCTGGAGCAGGTCGGACTCCACAGGACACTTTCTGAAGCATAATTATGATGGCAACAGAGCCACTAGAAGACAAATAGATGCTCAGGGGTTGAAGCAGGAACCAGAAGTAGTGAGTCTCAGGACTTGTGCTTGAAGATCCCCAACGTGTGTCTCCGAGGCTCTTGAAATATTCCCATAAGATGTGGGGATCTTCTTAATCCAAAGGGCATTTTCCTTACTCACTCCAGTCCCATGCACTGGCCTTCAGGGACTGAGTAGAGTCTTGGCACTCACCTAGAAAACCCATCACTCAGAAGTTTATCAGCACAGACTCTGTAGGGAACATTATTTTGTGTTACTTCGTTGTATTCTTAAAAACAGCCCCATATCAGTCTCTCAGAGTCTGAATGGTAATCTCTGCTCAATATCTCCAATCACAGGTGAGTGAGTAAGTATTTTTAATTGCTTAACTATAGCTTCATTGCTCTTAGAGATACACTTTTCTGTCTTGCTTTTTGGATATGAGACTAACTGTGTAGGAGATGGAAGTGTAATGACCTGAGGAGTTCCAAAGGAGGGAATAATAAAATTGTCTGTCCCATGCTTTGGGTGACAATCAGCCTACTGAGTATGTGAATCAGGAAGCTTCTTTCATTTTGGGTAATTTTTATGTCATTCAGAATAGCCCTCTGCTGGTTTGCCGATTTTTTATTAAATAAAGGACAGTGTATTTATTCTGCAAAAAGAGACTAAAATGCCACTGGACTGCAGAGAATAGTATCAGGAACACACTTCGTGTGACTTTCTCACAAGAAACCATCTTTCATGTGGATCTAATAACCTTGCATGCTAGCTATTATTGATTGAGCTTTAGCCACACTGATTTTCACGTTTGCTATGTGATTTCAGTTTTTAGTAAGAAATTGGATAGTATATTTTGAGAAAATTTGAAATTTTAAGATTCTGAATTTCTAAGGTCTCTTTTTTGAGAACACTCTTTAATGAAGAGCTACTGGGTCTGTTAGAAGGAAATGAAAAAGTCAAGACTGAGCTTGGAGGGCAAACATTCTCGTGAATTTTCTGGGGGCCTCTCCTTGTGGGTTCTTAGAGGCCATTCTTGAGCTCTTTACTATGATATGAAATTCTGAAAACATTTTCTCAGTTGTCCTTGTATTATATCAAGTTTCGGTTCTTTAGTAAGGAGTCAAGACCATGGCTGCTTGGAAAAGCAGTAATTTTCCTATAACTCTGTGTGAAATACTTGTGCTTTGCGTGGTGAATTCTATTCTGTCTCAGGGTCAATCTATGCCTATGAGAGGCAACAATGACCCATGTAGCACAATTTGAGTACCAGCTGCAGGATGTTGTTCTAGATTTGGAAATAGAAGAATTTTTTTCTACTCTTAGTTCACTACTTGTTAACTATTTGATCTTATAAGTAATCCACCATAAATTACAGACTCCTCTACTCTAACTAATATAAATGTTATAAGAATAAAAATAATATGTAAGGTCTGAACATTTTTTCCAAGTTCTACATCATAATAAGTATGTAAAAAAGGGAGGAAATACAATTGTTTTCTTGGAAAATTTTGCTATACTGCCTTATATTCCAACAGTAGTAATCCATTACTGAATGTAAGACCACTGTGTCCCCAGTTACGTATTAATTCATTGAGAAATAGATTAGTAAGACAGAATATGCACCATAAGATATTATGGACAAACAAGTGATATGTCACACAAATAAGTATGTTGTGTGTTATGTGTCATAATCAAGATTGAAACAAATGCCTATAGATTTTCCAGGAAGGGACAGAAGCATTTCACTTGAAGAGAAAAGAGGCATTTAAGCTGAGCTTTAAAAATATGTAGATTAGCAGACAGAAATGAAAGCAGGAAGAAAAACATACAGGCTGAGTGGATAAAAAAATGACTAAAATTAAGAGGCTATTCTGAAAAAGAAAATTCTTATTTTAAGGCAAATAACCTTAGAGGAGTAATACATTATTGTTTAAGTTATTTCATTTAGTCGTTTTATCACAACAGCTTCCCCACAAATAGGGACATGGGAAAGGCATGTTTTGAAGTAAAGGGCAATGATCACAGAACATAGAGGACTTGGGTAACAAAACAAAAGCATCAGGAGATCCCCAGGAGAAAGTAATTCCTTCTCTTAATGTGTAAGAAACCCTGAGAAGGGAGGTGGGCTGCTGAGCCAAGTGTGTCCTCCTTCGCTATTTTGAGAACTGGACAGCTGATACCATCTCATAATGACCTATGTTTGTGTTGGAGGGCAGTTCTCTGCAGGATAGCTTTTCTCATGAGGAATGGTCTGGCAAGAAAAATGGGGCCCCTTATTTTCACAAACAGTTCTTTTAATAACAGCACTCTTTCATACACTAACTGTAATTCAGTGCTTCCTTGAATTTCTACTTTTATGCTTCTCCTTCTTAGTCTCATAGTTTAGCTTCTACATGCAGGAAATTAGTTCTGAGAAAGTTCAATTCTGTGTTCTCTTTTTTCCTACTTCACACTCTCCCATCCATAGGAGTAGTTTCAACTATCCTCTATATGCTGATGTGTTACAAATTCGTATCTCTAGTACATACCTCTCCTCTGAGGCCACATACCAAAATATGTCAAATAAACATATTTTCTTAGATATTCAGATATCTCAAATTCAGCATGGCCAAAACTGAACACATGATCTCCCCCTGGATTTCCTTTTTTTTTTTTTTTTTTTAATATACTTTACTTTAAGTTCAGGGATACATATGCAGAATGTGCAGGTTTGTTACATAGGTGTACATGTGCCATGGTGGTTTGCTGCACTGATCAACACGTCATCTCGGTTTTAAGCCCCGCATGCATTAGCTATTTGTCCTAATGCTCTCCCTCCCCTTGCCACCTACTCCCCAACAGGCCCCAGTGTGTGAGGTTCCCTCCCTGTGTCCATGTGTTCTCATTGTTCAACTCCCACTTATGAGTGAGAACATGTAGTGTCTGGTTTTCTGTTCCTGTGATAGTTTGCTGAGGATGATGGTTCCCAGCTTCATCCATGTCCCTACAAAGGACATGATCTCATTCTTTTTTATGGCTGCATAGTATTCCATGGTATATATGTGCCACATTTTCTTTATCCAGTCTATCATTGATGGGCATTTGTGTTGGTTCCAAGTCTTTGCTACTTTAAATAATGCCACAATAAACCTACGTATGCATGTGTCTTTATAGTAGAATGATTTATAATCCTTTGGGTATATACCCAGTAATGGGATTGCTGGGTTAAATAGTATTTCTGGTTATAGATCCTTGGGTAATTGCCACACTGCCTTCCACAATGGTTGAACTAATTTACACTCCCATCAACAATGTAAAAGCCTTCCTATTTCTCCACATCCTCGCCAACATCTGCTGTTTGCAGACTTTTTAATGATTTCCATTCAAACTGGCGTGAGATGGTATCTTATTGTGGTTTTGATTTGCATTTCTATAATGACCCATGATGATGAGCTTTTTTTCATATGTTTGTTGGCCACATAAATGTCTTCTTTTGAGAAGTGTCTGTTCATATCCATCACCCACTTTTTGATGGGGTTGTTTGTTTTTTCTTGTAAATATGTTTAAGTTCCTTGTAGATTCTGGATATTAGACCTTTGCCAGATGGATAGATAGCCAAAATTTTCTCCCATTCTGTAGGTTTCCTGTTCAGTCCGATGATAGTTTTTTTTTTTTTTTCTATGCAGAAGCTCTTTAGTTTAATTAGATCCCGTTTGTCAATTTTGGCTTTTGTTGCATTGCTTTTGGTGTTTTAGTCATGAAGTCTTTGCCCATGCCTATGTCCTGAATGGTATTGCCAAGGTTTTCTTCTAGGGTTTGTATGGGTTTAGGTTTTATGTTTAAGTCTTTAATCCATCTTGAGTTAATTTTTGTATAAGGTGTAAGGGAGGGGTCCAGTTTCTGTTTTCTGCATGTGGCTAGCCAATTTTCCCAGCACCAATTATTCAACAAAGAATCCTTTCCCCATTGCTTGTTTTTGTCAGGTTTGTCAGGTTTTTTCAGGTTTGTCAAAACAAAGGTTTTGTCAGGTTTGTCAGGTTGTAGATGTGTGGTGTTATTTCTGAGGCCTCTGTTCTGTTCCATTGGTCTATATATCAGTTTTGGTACCAGTATCATGCTGTTTTGGTTACTGTAGCCTTGTAGTCTAGTTTGAAGTCAGGTAACATGATGCCTCCAGCTTTGTTCTTTTTTTTTTTTTTTTTTTTTTTTTTGAGACGGAGTCTCGCTCTGTCGCCCAGGCTGGAGTGCAGTGGCGGGATCTCGGCTCACTGCAAGCTCCGCCTCCCGGGTTCACGCCATTCTCCTGCCTCAGCCTCCCAAGTAGCTGGGACTACAGGCGCCCGCCACTACGCCCGGCTAATTTTTTGTATTTTTAGTAGAGACGGGGTTTCACCGTTTTAGCCGGGATGGTCTCGATCTCCTGACCTCGTGATCCGCCCGCCTCGGCCTCCCAAAGTGCTGGGATTACAGGCGTGAGCCACCGCGCCCGGCCCAGCTTTGTTCTTTTTGCTTAGGATTGTCTTGGCTATACGGGCTCTTTTTTTGGTTCCATATGAAATTTAAAGTCGTTTTTTCTAGTTCTGAGAAGAAAATCAATGGTAGCTTGATGGGAATAGCATTGAATCTATAAATTACTTTGGGCAGTATGGCCATTTACACAGTATTGATTCTTCGTATCCATGACCATGGAATTTTTTTCTCTTCATTTGTGTCCTCTCTTATTTCCTTGAGAAGCAGTTTGTAATTCTCCTTAAAGAGGTCCATCACATCCCTTGTAAGTTGTATTCCTAGGTATCTTATTTTTTTATGGTAATTGTGAATGGGAGTTCACTCATGATTCAGCTTTCTGCTTGTCTATTATTGGTGTATAGGAATGCTTGTAATTTTTGCACATTGATTTTGTATCCTGAGACTTTGCTGAAGTGGCTCATCAGCCTAAGGAGTTTTGGGCTGAGATGATGGGGTTTTCTAAATATACAATTATGTCATCTGCAAACAGAGGCAATTAGACTTCCTCTCTTCCTATTTGAATACCATTTATTTCTTTCTCTTGCCTGATTGCCCTGGGCAGAACTTCCAATACTATGTGGAATAGGAGTGGTGAGAGAGGGCATCCTTGACTTGTGCAGGTTTTCAAAGAGTACGCTTCCAGCTTTTGCCCATTCATTATGATATTGGCTATGGGTTTGTTGTGAATAGGTCTTTTTTTATATATATGTTCCATCAATATTTAGTTTATTGAGAGTTTTTAGCATGAAGGGGTATGGAATTTTATCAAAGGCCTTTTCTGCATCTATTGAGATAATCATGTGGTTTTTGTCATTGGTTGTTTATGTGATAGATTATGTTTATTGATTTGTGTATGTTGAACCAGCCTTTTATCCCAGGTATGAAGCCGACTTGATTGTAGTGGATAAGATTTTTGATGTGCTGCTGGATTTGGTTTGCCAGTAGTTTATTGAGCATTTTTGCATCGAGGTTCATTAGGGATATTGGACTGAAATTTTCTTTTTTTGTTGTGTCTTTGCCAGGTTTTGGTATCAGGATGATGCTGGCCTCATAAAATGAGCTAGAGAGGAGTCCCTCTTTTTTATTGTTTGGAATAGTTTCAAAACGAATGGTACCAGCTCCTCTTTGTACCTCTGGTAGAATTCAGCCATGAATCCATCAGATCCTGGAGATTTTTTGTTTTTTTAGGCTACTAATTACTGCCTCAATTTCAGTACTTGTTATTGGTCTATTCAGGGATTCGACTTCTTCCTGGTTTAGGCTTGGAAGGGTGTATGTGTCCAGGAATTTATCCATTTCTTCTAGATTTTCTAGTTTATTTGCATAGAGATATTTATAGTATTCTCTCATGGTAGTTTCTATTACTGTGGGATCAGTGGTGATAACTCCTTTACCATTTTTTATTGTGTCTATTTGATTCTTCTCTCTTTTCTTCTTTACTAGTCTGGCTAGCAGTCTATCTCTTTTGTTAATCTTCTCAAATAACCAGCTCCTGCATTCACTGATGTTTTGAAGGGTTTTTCGTGTCTCTATCTCCTTCAGTTCTGCTCTGATCTTAGTTATTTCTTGTCTTCTGCTAGCTTTTGAATGTGTTTGCTCTTGCTTCTTTAGCTCTTTTAATTGTGATGTTAGGGGGTCGATTTTAAATCTTTCCTGCTTTCTGACGTGGGCATTTAGTGCTCTAAATTTTTCTCTTAACACTGCTCTAGCTGTGTCCCTGAGATTATAGTTTATTGTCTCTTTGTTCTCACTGGTTTCAAATAACTTCATTATTCCTCCCTTAATTTCATTATTTACCCAGTAGTCATTCAGGAGCAGGTTGTTAATGTAATTGTGAGGTTTCATGTAGTTGTGAGGTTTTGAGTGAGTTTCTTAATGCTGAGTTCTAATTTGATTGCACTGTGGTCTGAGAGACTGTTTGTTTTGATTTCCATTCTTTTGCATTTGCTGAGGAGTGTTTTACTTCCAATTATGTGGTCGATTTTAGAATAATTGCTATGTGGTGCTGAGAAGAATGTATATTCTGTTGATTTGGGGTGGAGAGTTCAGTAGATGTCTATTAGGTCTGCTTGGTCCAGAGCTGAATTCAAGTCCTGAATATTCTTGATAATTTTCTGTCTCATTGATCTGTCTAATATTGACAGTGGAGTGTTAAAGTCTTCCATTATTATTGTATGGGAGTCTAAGTCTTTTGTAGGTCTGTAAGAACTTGTTTTATGAATCTGGGTGCTCCTTTATTGGGTGCATATGTATTTAGGATAGTTAGCTCTTCTTGTTGCATTGATCCCTTTACCATTGTGTAATGCCTTTCTTTGTCTTTTTTGATCTCTGTCGGTTTAAATTCTGTTTTATCAGAGACTAGGATTGCAACCCCTGCTTTTTTTTTCTCTTTCCATTTGCTTGGTAAATATTTCTCTGTCCCTTTGTTTTGAGCCTATGTGTGTCTTTGCACATGAGATGGGTCTCCTGAATACTGCACACTGATGGGTCTTGACACTTTATTCAATTTGCCAGTCTGTGTCTTTTAATTGGGACATTCAGCCGCCCATTTACATTTAAGATTAATATTGTTAGTGTGAATTTGATCCATTCATCATGATGCTAGTTGGTTACTTTGAACATTAGTTGATGCAGTTTCTTCATAGTGTCTTTGGTTTTTATATTACGGTGTGTTTTTGCAGTGGCTGGTACTACTTTTTCCTTTCCCTGTTTAGTGCTTCCTTTAGGAGCTCTTGTAAAGCAGGCCTGGTGGTGACATAATCCCTCAGCATTTGCTTGTCTGTAAATGATTTTATTTCTCCTGCACTTATGAAGCTTAGTTTGGCTGTATGCAAAATTCTGAGTTGAAAATTCTTTTTTTTTAAGAATGTTGAATATTGGTCCCCACTCTCTTCTGGCTTGTGGGTTTTCTGCGGAGAGATCCACTGTTAGTCTGATGGGCTTCCCTTTGTAGGTAACCTGACCTTTCTCTCTGACTGTCCTTAACATTTTTTCTTTCATTTCGACCTTGGATAATCTGATGATTATGTGTCTTGGGGTTGCCCTTCTCGAGGAGTATCTTAGTGGTGTTCTCTGTATTTCCTGAATTTGGATGTTGACCTGTCTTGCTAGGTTGGGGAAGGTCTCCTGGATAATATTTTGAAGTGTGTTTTCCAACTTGGTCTCATTCTCCATGTTACTTTCAAGTATACCACCCAATCACATGTTTGGTCTTTTCACATAGTCCCATATTTCTTGGAGACTTTTTTCCTTCCTTTTCCCTCTTTTTTCTCTAATATTGTCTTCACACCTTATTTTAGTAAGTTGATCTTCAATCTCTGATATCCTTTCTTCTGGTTGATCAATTCAGCTATTGATACTTGTGTATGCTTCATGAAGTTCTCATGATGTGTTTTTCAGCTCCATCAAGTCACTTATGTTTTTCTCTAAACTTCTAGTTAGCGGTTCCTGTAATCTTTTGTCAAATTTCTTAGCTTCATTGCATTGGGTTAGAACATGCTCCTTTAGCTCAATGGAGTTTGTTATTTCCCACCTTCTGAAGCCTACTTCTGTGAATTCATCAAACTCATTCTCTGCCCAGTTTTGTGCACTTGCTGGAGAGGAGTTGCAATCATTTGGAGAAAAGACATTTTTCTCTAGAAGAATGTTTTTGGAATTTTCAGCATTTTTGTGCTGGTTTTTCCTCATCTTCGTGGATTTATCTACCTTTGATCTTTGAGGTTGATGACCTTTGGATGGGATTTTGTGTGGGGGTCCTTTTTGTTGATGTTGATGTTATTGCTTTCTGTTTGTTAGTTTTTCTTCTACCAGTCAGGCCCCTCTTCTGCAGGTCTGCTGCAGTTTGCTCAAGGTTCACTCCAGACCCTATTTGCCTGAGTATCACCGGTGGAGGCTGCAGAACGGCAACTATTACTGCCTGCTTCTTCCTCTGGAAGCTTCATCCCAAAGGGAAGCCCAGTGCCAGCTGGACTCTCCTCTATGAGGTGTCTGTCAACCCCTGTTGGGGAGTCTCTCTCAGTCAGTAGGCACTGGGGTCAGGGATTCACTGGCAGAGGCAGTCTGTCCCTTAGCAGAGCTTGAGCGCTGTGCTGGGAGAACCCTCCTTGTCAGAATCCACTGTTCTCTTCAGAGCCGGCAGGCAGGAATGCTTAAGTCTGATGAAGCTGCGCCCACAGCTGCCCCTTCCCCCAGGTGCTCTGTCCCAGGAAGATGGGAGTTTTATCTCTAAGCCCCTGACTGGGACTGCTGCCTTTCTTTCAGAGATGCCCTCCCCAGTGAGGAGGAATCTAGAGAAGCAGTCTGGCCACAGCCACTTTGCCACGCTGTGTTGAGTTCCACCCAGTCCAAACTTCCAGGCCTCCTTAGCACTGTCAGGGGAAAACTGCCTACTCAAGCCTCACTAATGGTGGATGCCCCTCCCCACAACAAGCTCGATCATCCAGGGTCGACTTCAGACTGCTGTGCTGGCAGTGAGAATTTTAAGCCAGTGGTCCTTAGCTTGCTGGGCTCCATAGGAGTGGGACCCGCTGAGTGAGAGCACTTGGCTTCAGCCCCCTTTCCAGGGGAGTGAACAGTTCTGTCTGTTGATGTTCCAGGTGCCACTGGGGTATGAAAAAAACTCCTGCAGCTGGCTCAGTGTCTGCCCAAACAGCCACCCAGTTTTGTGCTTGAAACCCAGGCCCCTGGTGGTGTAGGCACATGAGAGAATCTCCTGGTCTGCGGATTGCAAAAACCGTGGGAAAGGTGTAGTATGTGGGTGAATAGCACAGTCCCTCACAGCTTCCCTTGGCTGGGGAAGCTCCTTGCACTTCCCGAGTGAGGCGATGCCACACCATGCTTCTGCCTGCCCTCCAGGTGCTGCACCTGCTTCCTAACCAGTTACCTAACTGGTACCTCAGTTGGAAATGCAGAAATCACCTGCCTTCTGCATTGGTCTCACTGGGAGCTGCAGAGCAGAGCTGTTCCTATTCAGCCATCTTGCCAGATTTGCCAACAAGTGCCAATTTCCTGCTTTCATTTCAGAGAATGACACCCCCAGCCATCTGCTTGTTCAATCCAGGAATCTAGATCAGCACAGTGCACTCGTTTAGGCCACAAAGTGAAATGTAAAACCCAATAACACCACTGCAAGTCTGAGTAACTTTAGGCAAATTATTTAATTTCTCTGAAACTTATTTTAAAATTTTTTACTTGTAATGTGGACATAATATGTCTCTTTCATTGTGTGCGTGTGCGTTTTTAGTGTGTGTGGGCATGTGAACTGGGTAATACAATGATTGTTGAATGGTTATGTTATAATAAGCATTTAATATATGTTGGTTATAACTACTATCCTTAATTTATCCTTCTTCGTCATTTTATACCAAAATTGTAACACTGTATATTCTAATATCTCTCAAATGCCTCTATTTCTATCCAACCAAATTGTCACCACTCTAGTCTGCAGTATATATATAACGTGATGTTATAATGCATGTATATATTTTGGAATGAGTACAGCAGGCTAAATAACATATCTGCCACCTCACATACTTATCATTACTTTGTGGGGAAAATATTTAAAATCCACTCCATTAGCAATTTTGGAATATACAATACATTTTAACTATAGTCACCATGCTATACAATAAATCATTAGAAGTTACTTCTCCTGTGTAACTGAAACTTTGTACCCTTTGACCAGTCCACCCCTGTCCACTCCTACCTCAAACTCTGGTAACCACCATTCTATTTTCTACCTCAATAGATTTGACCTTTTTAGATTCCACATATAAGGGAGATCATGCAATACTTGTCTTTCTGTGCCTGGCTCATTTCACTCAGCATAATGTCCTCTAGCTTAACCCATGTCAGAAATGACAGGATTTTCTTTTTTTAAAGGCTGCATAGTATTCCACCAGGTATATATAACATTTCTTTAGTCATTCATCTATTGGTGAAGATTTAGGTTGTTTCCATGGCTACTGTGAATAATGCTGCAAAGACCATGGGAGTGCAGATATCTCTTTGAGATACTGATTTCAATTCCTTTGAATATATATCCAGAAGTGGAATTGCTGGATCACATAGTAGTTGCATTTTTAGTTTTTTGAAGAAACTGCACTGTTTTCCAAAATGGCTCTATTAATTTACATTTCCATTAACACTGTGCCAGTTCCCTTTTTTCCACATTTTTGCCTTAAAATACATTTGTTGAATAAAATGAGTAGAAGGGTTAATTCCTCCTCAGAAGTGGAAGGAAATGTTAAAAAAGATGAAAGGGGAGATAGAGATTTGGAATAGGGAAAAAGATTGATTTGAGAATACAATTTTGGAGTTCTTCTGTAGATGGAATGAAAATTGTCCCAGTGAATTTATTCAGTTGTGGTAATGTGAAATACTATATTATGTGAATTTTTTCAACTTATCCTCTCCCTTCATTAAAAATATCCACAGTAGTTCACGAGGAAAGAAGACAGCAATTACAACAAAAGCACAATTAAGCCACCTCTCAAACTTGACATTGAAATGCATATTTGTCTATAGGTGAGGGCAATCGATAAAGTATATAGTTTGAATGAATATACAACAATTATCTTCATTTTTAAGTTTTTATTTTGTTTTATTTATCTAAGTTTTTATAATTTGCTTCAAACATCAAACTGCAGATTAATTTTTCTCACTTGAATTAGGCCCTGAGCATTTTAAATTAGGGGATTCTCCCTACAACTGTTTTAATTTTATTAAACATTTTTATTAACCAACTTAAACTAAGCTCTAGAAGAGTATCTTTTAATAACACAAACATGAACATTTAAATTAATCTATAGCTGGTCCAGGAAATAAAAAACTACACTAGAAATTGATTGTTCAAATAAACATATTCAAATAAAAACCAGGTATTTAGAAACAATTGGATTTAACCATCAAAACACTGCAGGCATAGCACATTGCCATTAACAGTCAGAAATAGAAGTCATAACAATTTGTAACCAGTTAAAATAATTCAGTTGTATGAACGTAGGTTATATTCAAAACAAGAGAAGTGTTTTTTAAGGGCATTCTGTTGTCATAAGTTAATGGAAATTAAATTTTTAGCCACTCAACTGAAAGTATATTAGCTTTGGGAGTGATAAACCTACCTTTTTTTTACCTGCTAGCTGCGTGACATCTTCCAGACGTTTATCTTGCTGAGGCTTGGTGCTCTCATCCAGAGAATGGGAATGATAAATATTACTTATCTTAAAGGATTTATGTAAAGACTAAATGAGATGCTGTGTAGGAAGTGCTCAGAGATTATCAGCATCCTTCTATATGAAGCACTTAACAATAATTTGTTGAAACAGACACTAATTCCTGCACCAGCCAAATAGCTCTTGAATTTTCCAGATTGATGATCTATAGCAATAGGTTTCTAATTCATTAGGATAAGTCTCTTGGAAAGTTTATAAAAATTCAGATAACCTAACCCCAAATTCAGGGAATCTAATTCAATATGCTTCTTGTTGAAATTTATCATATCAAAAATGAACAAATAAAACAATATAAATATTCATTAATAAGGGTGGGATATATAAAAACTTTGCTATATTCATACAAATACTTGAATACAACTCAAAGATCATGTTTTAGCATAAAATGTATTGCCACGGAAAATTAAGGAAAAATCAGATTAAAATAGGTACTTTTGATCCTCTATTCAACATTTCTATATGGAAAATGGATCAGAAGAACATATACCAAATCATTAATAGAGATTTTCTCTGGTGACTACTAAAGATTTTTAATGTTTTAAATTTTCTTTTCTATATTTTTCCCAAATATTCTAAAACAAATACATTAATTTTAATCGGAAAAGAATATAAAACAAAATTTATATTAACGTTGAAGTATGAAAAAGGAGAGCAGGGATGGCTTCAAAGAAGCAAATGAATACCAGAGATTCTTCTAGAAATCGCATTCTACAGCACAAGTTCACACATCCCCAAGAAAATGCCGGTGAGCATGACCCAGCCATTATTAACAGAGAACTCTAGGACATATGGTGTCCATTTGTATTCTAATTTAAAACTTCCAGTGTTGTATATTTAAAAAGATTTGATCTGCAGGTGAAACATTGGATGTATTTATATCTGTGTTGCATGGTAGGTAGGAGCTATGGTTTGCAAAAGAATGCTGCTTCTCTGGTTTGACATAAATGGTGATTACTTTTATTTGTAACCGTTTTTTCCCTTATTTTTCAGGTCATGCTATTGCAGCATATGATTCATTTTTATAATCTGGTCTTCTCTTTGCCCAATTCCTGAAAGGAAACCAGGCGACATCATGGAAAGAAAGAATCAAACAGCTATAACTGAATTCATCATCTTGGGATTCTCCAACCTAAATGAATTGCAGTTTTTACTATTCACCATCTTCTTTCTGACTTATTTCTGTACTTTGGGAGGAAATATATTAATTATCTTGACGACTGTGACTGATCCACACCTGCATACACCTATGTATTATTTTCTAGGGAACTTGGCCTTTATTGACATCTGCTACACCACCAGCAATGTCCCCCAGATGATGGTGCACCTCCTCTCAAAGAAAAAAAGCATTTCTTATGTGGGGTGTGTGGTTCAACTTTTTGCATTTGTTTTCTTTGTAGGATCAGAGTGTCTCCTACTGGCAGCAATGGCATATGATCGTTACATTGCAATCTGCAATCCTTTAAGGTATTCAGTTATTCTGAGCAAGGTTCTATGCAATCAATTAGCAGCCTCATGCTGGGCTGCTGGTTTCCTTAACTCAGTGGTGCATACAGTGTTGACATTCTGCCTGCCCTTCTGTGGCAACAATCAGATTAATTACTTCTTCTGTGACATCCCCCCTTTGCTGATCTTGTCTTGTGGAAACACTTCTGTCAATGAGTTGGCACTGCTATCCACTGGGGTCTTCATTGGTTGGACTCCTTTCCTTTGTATCGTACTTTCCTACATTTGCATAATCTCCACCATCTTGAGGATCCAGTCCTCAGAGGGAAGACGAAAAGCCTTCTCTACATGTGCCTCCCACCTGGCCATTGTCTTTCTCTTTTATGGCAGCGCCATCTTTACATATGTACGGCCCATCTCAACTTACTCATTAAAGAAAGATAGGTTGGTTTCAGTGTTGTACAGTGTTGTTACCCCCATGCTAAACCCTATAATTTACACATTGAGGAATAAGGACATCAAAGAAGCTGTCAAAACTATAGGGAGCAAGTGGCAGCCACCAATTTCCTCTTTGGATAGTAAACTCACTTATTGAACCTCACAGGTTCAATAATCTTATACTACAAAATTAACTTTTTCACCAGTCAGCTGTTTTTATTGAAAGTTTAAAAGATAATTGCAATGTTGGGACAGATATTGAAGAGTTGATACACTCCAGTCTAAGTGTACTTATTCTTGAGCTTTAGTTAGTTCTATGAGAGATATCAATGTTGCTCTCTTTAGATATTATCTTCTTATTTATTTTTCCATTCCTGAATTTTGCATTCAAAGACTGTTTCCCTCTTTCATGAGATATTTGTTTAATGGACTTCATCACTTGAAAATTTCCCTGCTTTTTCATATTGCTTTCTGTATATTAAATAATGTGAAATATTTTTCTTCACATTCCTCATATGTGTGTCATATTTTTCTGTTCTTACTACTTAAGCCATGCTTTTGACCTTTCTTTCTTTAGTAGGCCCTTCTTAATAAAACATCATCACCAATAGATTAAGAAATGTAAACACAGTAAAGTGATGTTTTACCTCCAGATCTGTTGGTAGCTAATTTTAATTTTATCACCTGCTGCATGGGCCAAGGCCAATTTATCTTCACATTGGAATGAAGACAGTCATAATTTTCAATCCCATTTGACATGCATTCTTTATTCTATTCAAAAGGCAGAATTTCCTGAGGGATTTTTCTAAAACTAAGTCCCCAAAACATATTACTATTTTATAGAGTATCTTAAATTTGGGAAACTTTTTTCGCTAAAAATTTAGAAAACAGAATCAGATAAAACATACAGAAAAAACAAGGGTTTTTTGATGGGGAATAAAAAGTCTTAGTTATATAATGACTAAATTTAGAAAAAAAAGTAGAAATTACTAATGTTAAAAGTAAAAGTACTTAATTACTATTTTCTATGTGTTATTACCATGTAAAGTACAGTTATGAAGTCAAGACAAATGGGAAGGAAGACTAAGTGGTGGAAGAGAGAAATAAATACAGACACTGGAGAGAAAATTTAAAAGATAAAGAGACTTAGAGATACCAAGAAGGGAAAATAAATAACATACAATGTAAGAGCCTAAGAGATTGAAAGAGAGATAGAAAAAGGCTTATAGATCAGGTAGATACAAGTTGTCTAGTGTCTTTCTTCACTATTCTCTCAGGACCGTCTTCTTTTTCTTCCCATACCTACTGATGCCTCCCTTGATTAAGTCTTGACTTCCCAGCCCCTCTTTTGTGTAATGTTGTCATAGTGTTCTAGTGGAGTGCCTTGTCTCCATTCCTATTCTGTTTAATGTACCCTGCACATCATTTCTGAGTTAACTTTCTTAACATGGTGTTATGTACAGTCTCCTATACTGTTTTTGTTTTAATAAACTCTACTGGCTTACTGGCACACTCTTCATTTAACTAAATATATTTGTAACCACTGTCTATAAAATCTAAGTACTACCTACTTTGTAACTCATCTCCTGCAGGAACCCTAAATAATTCTTCTCCAGGTATGGCTTGATCTTTCCTGACTACATACCACTATTATGACGATTCCCTTAATTTGGAATTCACATCTCCTCCCTTATTTGTTCAAAATTCTCTTCATTCTTTATAGTTCAATTCAAAATCTACTTTCTCCTCCATCATTCCACCTAATGTTTTCTATTCCTCCTTAAATCACATGGTACTGCCTGAAATGGTGGTGGTGGTGGTAGTGAGAGTTACTTGACTAATCTATTTAAAATTACAACTTCTCACCACTCCCCCACTCAATAACTCTTGATAACTCCACTCTGTCTTTCATTTCATAGCAGTTATCTAAAGTTATTATTATCAGAATTATGTATCCTGTTCACCTCTTTATCTTTAGGGCCAAGAAGAGAATAATTCCTGGCCTATCATAGGTGGTAAATACTCCTGAATAAATATATGAACATGGGGGGCAGAAAGGAAAAACCAGTATCAGCCACTGCAAAAACACACTGAAATACAAGGATCAATGACACTATAAAGAAACTGCATCAACTCGTGTGCAAAATAACCAGCTAGCATCATGATGACAGGATCAAATTCACATATAACAATATTAACCTTAAATGTAAATGGGCTAAATGACCCAATTAAAAGACACAGACTGGCAAATTGGATAAAGAGTCAAGACCCCTCAGTGTGCTGTATTCAGGAGATCCTTGACATGTGCCAGGACACACATAGGCTCAAAATAAAGGGATGGAAAAAATTTACCAAGCAAATGGAAAGTAGAGAAAAGCAAGGATTGTAATCCTAGTTTCTGATAAAACAGACTTTAAACCAAAAAAGATAAAAAACACAAAGGAGGGGATAACATAATGGTAAAGGGGTCACTTCAACAAGGAGAGCTAACTATCCTAAATGTATATGCACCCAATACAGGAGCACCCAGATTCATGAAGCAAGCTCTTAGAGAGCTACAAAGAGACGTAGACTTCCACACAATAATACTAAGAGACTTTAACACCCCATTCTCAACATTAGACAGATCATCAAGACAGAAAACTAACAAGGATATTCAGGACTTGAACTTGGCTCTGGATCAAGTGAACCTGATAGATATCTGCAAGCCCTTCCAGCCTGAAACAACAGAATATACATTCTTCTCAGTGCCACGTGGCATTTACTCTAAAATCGATCACATAATGGGAAGTGAAGCACTCCTCAACAAATGCAAAAGAACTGAAATCATAACAAACAGTCTCTCAGACCACAGTTCAATCAAATTAGAACTCAGGATTAAGAACCTCACTCAAAACCAACAATGACATGGAAATTGAACAACCTGCTCCTGACTGACTTCTAGGTAAATAATGAAATTAAGGCAGAAACTAAACCATTCTTGAAACCAATAAGAACAAAGAGACAACATACCAGAATCTCTGGGATGCAGCTAAAGCAATGTTTAGAGGGAAATTTGTAGCACTAGAAAGAACTCAAACTGACACCCTAACATCACAACAAAAGAACTAGAGGAGCAAGGGCAAATAAATCCAAAATTTAGCAGAAAACAAGAAATAACTAAGATCGGAGAAGAACTGAAGAAGAGACAGACACAAGAAAATGCTTCAGCAAATCAATAAATCCAGAAGTTGTTTCTTTTTTGAAGACATTAATAAAATAGACTGCTAGCTAGACTAATAAAGAAGAAAAAAGAGAAGAATCAAATAGACACAATATAAATGATAAAGGGCATATCACCACTGACCCCATAAAAATACAAACTACCATCAGAGAATACTATAAATATCTCATGCAAACAAACTAGAAAATCTAGAAGAAATGAATAAATTCCTGGATGCATACACCCTCCCAAGACTACACCAGGAAGAATTCAAATCCTTGAATAGACCAATAACAAATTCTGAAATTGAAGCAGTAATAAATAGCCTAACAACCAAAAAAAGCCCAGCACCAGATGGACTCACAGTCGAATTCCACCAGAGGTACAAAAAGGAGTTGGTACCACTCCTTCTGGAACTATTTCAAACAATTCAAAAGGAGGGACTTCTCCCTAACTAATTTTATAAGCCCAGCATCATCCTGATACTAAAACCTGGCAGAGACGGAACAAAATAAGAAAACTTCTGGCCAATATCTCTGATGAACATCAATGTGAAAATCCTCAATAAAATACTGGCAAATCAAATCCAGCAGCACATCAAAAAGCTTATCTGCCACAATCAAGTCGGCTTCATCCCTGGGATGAAGGCTGGTTCAACAGACACAAATCAATAAATGCAATTCATCACATAAACAGAACCAATGACAAAAACCACATGATTATCTAAATAGATGCAGAAAAGGCCTCCGATAAATTTCAACATCCCTTCATACTAAAAACTTTCAATAAACTAGGTATTGATGGAACATATCTCAAAATAATAAGAGCTATTTATGACAAACCCACAGCCAATATCATACTGAATAGGCAAAAGCTGGAAGCATTCCCTTTGAAAACTATCACAAGACAGGGAAATCCTCTTTCACCATTCCTATTCAACATAGTATTGGATGTTCTGGCCAGGGCAATCAGGCAAGAGAAAGAAATAAAGCGTATTTGAATAAAAAGACTGGAAATCAAATTGTCTCTGTTTGCAGATGACATTGTATATTTAGAAAACCCCATCGTCTCAGCCCAAAATCTCCTTAAGCTGATAAACAACTTCAGCAAAGTCTCAGGATACAAAATCAATGTGCAAAAATCACAAGCATTTCTATACACCAACAATAGACAAACAGAGAACCAAATCATGAATGAACCTTCATTCATAATTGCTACAAAGAGAATAAAATACCTAGGAATACAGCTAACAAGGGATGTGAAAGACTTCAAGGAGAACTACAAACCACTTCTCAAGGAATTAGGAGAGGACACAAACAAATGGAAAAACATTTCATCCTTGTGGATACGAGGAACCAATATTGTGAAAATAGCCATACTGTCCAAAGTAATTTATAGATTCAGTGCTATTCCCATCAAACTACCATTGACATTCTTCAGAGAATTAAAAAAAAAAGGCTACTTTAAAACTCATATGGAACCAAGAAGGAGCCTGTATAGCCAAGACAATCCTAAGCAAAAAGAACACAGCTGGAGGCATAATGCCACCTGACTTCAAACTATAATACAAGGCTACAGTAACCAAAACAGCATGGTACTGGTACCAAAGCAGACACATAGACCAACAGATCAGAAATAAGACGGCACATCTACAACCATCTGAATTGCAACAAACCTGACAAAAACAAGCAATGGGGAAATGATTCCCTATTTAATAAATGGTGCTGGGAAAATGGGCTAGCCATATGCAGCAAACTGAAACTAGACCCCTTCCTTACACCTTATACAAAAATTAGCTCAAGATGTATTAAAGACTTAAATGTAAAACCTAAAACGATAAAAATCCTAGAAGAAAATGTAGGTAATACCATTCAGAGAATAGGCATGGGCAAAAATTTTATGATGAAATTGTCAAAAGCAATTGCAACAAAAGCAAAAATTGACAAGCAGGATCTAATTAACTAAAGAGCTTCTGCACACCAAAAGAAACTACCATCAGAGTGAACAGGCAACCTGAAGAATGGGAAAAAAATTTTGCAATCTACCCATCTGATAAAGGTCTAATATCCAGAATTTACAAGGCACTTAAACAAATTTACAATAATAAAACAAATAACCCCATCAAAAAGTGGGCAAAGGATATGAACAGACACTTCTCAGAAGATACTTACACAGCCAACAAATTATGAAGAAAAGCTCAACATCACTGATTGTTAGAGAAATACAAATTAAAACCACAATGAGCTACCATCTTATGCCAGTCAGAAGAGCAATTATCAAAAAGTCAAGAAACAATAGATGCTGGCAAGGCTGTGGAGAAATAGGAACACTTTTACACTGTTGGAGGGAATGTAAATTAGTTCAACCATTGTGGAAGACAGTGTGGCAATTCCTCAAGGATCTAGAACCAGAAATACCATTTAGCCCAGCAATCCCATTACTGGGTATATAACCAAAGGAATATAAATCATTCTATTATAAAGATACACACACATATGTTTATTGCAGCACTATTCACAATAGCAAAGACTTGGAATCAATCCAAATGCCCATCAATGATAGAATACATAAAATGTAGTACATATATATCATGGAATACTATGCAGCCATAAAAAGGAATGGGATCATGTCCTTTGCAGGGACATAGATGAAGCTGGAAGCCATCATCCTCAACAAAGTAACTGAAACAGAAAACCAAACACCGCATGTTCTCACTAATAAGTGGGAGTAGAATAAAGAGAACACATGGACACAGGGAGGGAACAACACACACCAGGGCCTGTCGGCGGGTGGAGGGTGGGAGAGCATCAGGACAAATGGCTAATGCATGCAGGGCTTAATACCTAGGTGATGGGTGGTTAGGTGCAGCAAATCACCATGGCACACGTTTACCTATGTAACAAACCTGCACGTCTGCACATGTATCCTGGAACCTAAAATAAAATAAAATTTAAAATATATATAAACATACCATAAAACTACCATGACATTGAACATCCTAGAGGGTTTGTGCATGAAAGTTTTTGCTTTCTTACTACTTTTTATGCTCCCAGTTAACACACATCTTACAGGAAGTATACGTTTTAGTATTTCTCACATCCCATAGTTTATTTCATTCACCATAGAATATTATTCCAGAATATTATGTTCACAGAATAGATGAATAAGTAGAGATAATGAATGATATAATTTAGTTGGTTGCAAATATTATTTTAAGTCAAAATTTTCTGACACATTTGCTTATTAGATGATAAAAAATTTTTTTTGGTCAACACGTATTTCTCATCAAATATTTCCAAAGTGGGAAACATCCAAGCCTCATACTTTGACAACATGCTCTTCTGTCTCAATGTAGTCTACCTCTTTCACTTTTTTTTTGCTTTAAATATTAACCATGTACCACTGACTTTCACTTTATTTATCTGCAGCTTTTACTTCTATTCTAAATTCAACCAAATCTCACGCCATATTTTGTTTTAATTCAAACTCATAACCCTTTAATCAAAATCAGTTGCCATCTGTTTTATCAATGCCACTGCAATTCTCACATTCTGTTTATATCCCATTCGTTTTCTTTACTTTCTGATGCTCTTCCAATGATTAACTCACAGCTCTGAACAAATATAGCATTTTGTTACATCTAAGGCTGTTCAGTTTCAGTATACTAAAGAAAATAAGTAAAGAAACATTAAAAACAAAAAAAGTAAAATACACACAATAAAACCTAGAGAAGTGAATCCCAAAAGCAATATGCTAGCATACTGATAAGGGAGTGCTGGGAAGGGAAGAACGTGGTCCCTTTAAATGATACAAAAGGGGAGAAGAGAAGTGCTGGGTAGAGGAAGGTGTGTTCCCTGACTAGGGCTCCATCCCACGGACCTAGGTGAGGACAGGCACTCCTGCTTTTTCGCCCAAATGTTGCATTTCAAAAGTCCACCCTGACCCACCATGCCCCCATCCTTGGCCTATAAAAACCCGAGGCCCCAGCAGGCAGACACACAGGTGGCCAGATGTCCAGAGGAGTACATTGGCGAAAGAAGATGCAAGCGGCTGGTCCTCGAGAGGATGTCAAGAGGAGCACGCAGGCAGAAGAGCACACAGACAGGCACCAGCATACCAGCAGGCCATCAGCTGGTGGGAGGAGGTGGAGTTTGGCCGCGGCAGAGGAGAGCAAGGCCGAGTGGCCCAACTCCAGGGGAAGACCATTTCCCTTCTGGCTCCCCCATCAGTTGAGAGCTACTTCCACTCAATAAAGCTTTACACTAATTCTCCAAGCCCACGTGTGATCTAATTCTCCCGGTACACCAAGGCAAGAAACCCTGGGATACAGAAAGCCCTCTGTCCTCGGACAAGGTAGAAGGTCTAATTGGGCTAACACAAGCCACCTGTAGACAGCAAATTAAGAGCACCCTGTAACACACGCCCACTGGGGCTTCAGAAGCTGCAAACATTCACCCCTAAACACTGCCATGGGGTTGGAGCTCCACAGTCTGCCTGTCTGTAAGCTCCCCTAGTTGTTTGAGCAGTGGGGCCCTGAAAAAGTGAGCCACATCCCCATCGCATGCCCTGCGAGGGGGACAAGGGAACTTTTCCCATTTCAATACCACTAGAGAGGTTCACAGACAATTTGAGCCCTGTTTTCTCAAAACAGAAAAGGAAGGACAGTAAGAACTGTGCGAAGTGAGGATAAAGAAACAGAAAAGGGAGCCAATAGTCATTGGCATTATACACCTGAGAAAGCAGCAGCAGTTACCATACTGAGCATAGCCGGAGGAGTTCACCACAGTTAGAGAAATGAAGGCAGAAATGGTAGGTACACCTGTGGATTTGGAAGTTAAAAACTGATGAGGTTTTAAATCAAAGGAATCAAAGGTTTGTTTTTCTTTGTAATATAAGAAAATAATTTGCTTACAATCTTTTTTTACCTGTCATACACTATTATTCGTTTATTGTTATAGTTGGCAAATAAAAATTATATTTATCATGTACAACATGATGTCTTGAAATATGTATACCTTGTGAAATGGCTAATCAACGTATGCAATACCTCACATACTTTTTTGTGGTGAGAAAACTCATCTATTCTTTTGGCAATTTTCAAGAATACAAAACGTTATTAACTACAGTCACCATGTTGTACAATAGATCTCTTGAACTTATTTCTCCTATATAACTGAAATATTGTATCCATTTACCAACATCTCCCCACCACATCCCCTCCCAGCCCCTAGTAACCACAATTCTACTCTCTATTTCTATGATTTCAACTTTTAAAAATTCTGCATAATGTGAGATCATGTAGCATTTGTCTTTCTGTTCCTAGCTTACTTCACTTAAAATAACGTTCTCCAGGTTCATCCATGTTGTCACAAATGACAGAATTTGCTTCTTTTTTAAGACTGAATAGTATTCTATTGTGTACATATGCCATATTTTATTTATCCATTCATCCGCTGATGAACACTTAGGTTGATTCCATGTCTTGGCTATTATGAATGGTGCTGCAATAAACATTGGAGTGCACATATTTCTTTGATATGCTGATTTCATTTCCTTGGATATATACCAAGTAATGGGATTCCTTGATCATATGGTGGTTTTATTTTTAATTTTTTAAAGAACTTTCATACTATTTTCTATAATGGCTATACTTACTCACATTCGCATCAACAGTGCGGAAGAGTTCCTTTTTCTTGACATCCTTATCAGCATGTGTTACCTTTTGTCTTTTTAATATTAATTATTCTAACAGATATAAGGTTATATCTCATTGTGGTTTTCATTTGCCTTTCTCTGCTGACTATTAATTTAGTATTTTTTCATATACCTGTTGGCCATTTGCATGTCTTCTTCTGAGAAATGTCTCTTCAGGTCATTTGATCGTAACCAGGTTATTTGTTTTCTTTAATTGGGTTATTTGTAATATATATTTTGAATAGTAACCTCTTAACAGATGTGTGCTTGGCCGATTACAAAGGTTGTCTCTTCACTCAGTTGATTGTTCGCTTGGCTGTGCTGAAGCATTTTTGTTTGATGTAGTCAAAATTGTCTCTTTTTGGCTTTATTGCCAGTACTTTCAAGGTCATATCCAAAAAGTCTTTCCCAGATCAATGTCATGGAACTTTTTCCCCAATATTTTCTTCTAGTATTTTTACAATTTCAAATTACACATTTAATCCAAATGTCTTTAATCCATTTTCAGTTTTTTAAAAAAATATTGTGTGAGATTAGGGTCCAATTTCATTCTACTGGCATGCAAATATCCAATTGTTCCAACATTAGTTGTTGAAGGAACTGTCTTTTCTCCATTGTGTGCTATTGGCACTTTTGTCAAAAATCAATGGACTGTAAATGCATACATTTATTTCTGAGTTCTTTATTTTTTTCCATTGGTCTTTCTGTCTGTTTTTATGCCAGTACCATGCTGTCTTAATCGCTTTAGCTTTGGAGTGTATTTTCAAATCAGGTAGTATAATACCTGCAGCTTTGTTCATTTTTTGCAAGATTGCTTTGGCTACTTGGGTTATTTTTTTAGTTCCATAGAATTATAGGATTTTTTCCCATTTCTGTGAAACATGTCATCGATATTTTGATGAGATTATGCTGACTCTGTAGATTACTTTGAATAGCATGAACGTTTTAACAATATTATTTCTTCCAATTTGCAGGATATATCCATAGGATGTTTTTCCAATTATTTGTGTCTTTTTCAATTACTTTAATCAATGCTTTATAGTTTTTTTGTGTACAAATCTTTAACCTCCTTGGTTATGTTAATTCTTAAGTATGTTATTTTTCTTTTTTTTGTAGCTATTGTAAGTGGGGTTGTTTTCTTGATTTCTTTTTTAGATTGTTGTTAGTGTATGGAAATAATTTTTATATGTTGATTTGTATCCTGCAACCTTATTGAATTCATTTATTATTTCTAACAGTTTTTTGATAAATTCTTTATAGCTTTTATGTACAATAATATACCACATGCAATCAGGGACAATTTTAACTTTCTCAGGGGAAGAGACAGAATGAGTTACTTATACCACCGTAATGGGAAAAAGAATGTGCATTTTGAAATTTGATTAACCTTAAGTGAAACAAAATAGTCAGTGTTTATTTCTTCCAGTTACAGTTTTCCATCCCATTTTTAACACTTCCAGTATTGGAAGAGCTTGAATTGTAAATGGATGTGGAAATAGCTATAAGGTGATGGAAGAACCACCATTCTCATAATCAGAAGATGTGCATTTGAAGTTGAACACTACTGATAAATACCAGTGCAATCTTAGTCAAGATAGTTATGGTTTCTTTAATCTGAATTTTCTCTTCTATAAAATAAAAATAATTTTTAAAAACAAAAATACAAAAGTATTTTTTGAAATAACTATAGAAAATAATACATCGTTACTAGGGTGGCTGAATGATGAGCACTAACATCTCTTCCACGCTTATATGTGATGTTATTTAATGTAGTTAATATATATTAACCCATTTAACATGCCACATGTGAGAGATACTATTACCATCTTTTTTACAACTGAGCCACCAAATTAACTAGCTTTCTTTAAGTCACATACCTAACAATTGGTGGTTCATTGTTCAAACTCACACCATCTGATTCTAAAAGATGTATTGTTAACTGGTGTATATGCCATACTGAAAATTAGCTACAAGGTTTATTGCTTTCACAGAACATTTAAAAAGAATGCAGGATTGATTTGTTTATTGGGAGTATTTTATTAGATTATTCTAACCCACTTAGACATAAAACAAAGAAGAATTTGAAATTTTGGAGTTTGAATTCTGTCTCCCAATATAGAGAGTAGGTAACTAGAATAACTTTGGAGGCCTCTACAGTATTTATTTTCTTCTAAGACTACAGGTTATAGCAATTGCTAATTTCTATTAAAGATGTGTGTTCACTGAGGGCTGTACTGGCAAAGAGTCCACACAGTTTACACAGAGCTAACAGCAGCTTCTTAACACCATCATTTTTCAGTTTTCATACAATTAAAAATGGTCTCTTGGAAACTGGCTCTTATCAAGAAAGTTTTTGTTCCACTAGTAGGTCACTTGGGGGCTCATTAGAAAGCTTACAGATAATTGTATTGTTAAGATGTTATAAATGTTTTCGCAAAGTCAATAAGTACATAATTGCTTAGGTGCCTCAAAACTGTTTTCTTTGAAGAGTAAGATGCTCCATCAGGGCATATGTATTAAATACTTCCAAAGTGTCTCCAGAGGTGCCAGCTTTGTTAGGTAGTCCCTGGCGCCTTTCTCTCAGGTGTGCCTCATGGTTTTAACAATTACTTCTGCAAGAGGCCTCTTGGGGTAAGCCACTTAACAAACAGCACTGAGATAAACTTTCTTCAAAGTCTATCCTTCAAAGTTGGCCTCCTTAGGGAAAGAGATGGGTGACTTCATGCAAAGCACCACACTCAACTGTAAAGGAGAAAGGGTCATTACTATTAAAAAAAGAAGACATTTCAGAAAGCCTCAAGGGTGTTTACCTTTTCTCTGAAAGCCCCTTACCCCAGAATGAATGAGAACTGGGTTCTTGTTAATACAAATGTATATACATAGAGAGAGGGCAGAGAGAGAGGCAAGGGAGAGAGTTGGTATTAGCAAAGTTCCAGTTCTCATTCACCCTGGGGACTATGTATGTACAGTATATATTCACATAGCCACCCATTCACTTATTCTCTTGTTTTATTTAATTCACTATTCTGATATACTGGATCATCATTACAGTAGTCTACCATATTGAAAGTTCTATTTAAATTACAAATTAAAATACTAATCCAAGTAACATACAACTGTAAAGAATGTGCCTCATCTTGTAAAACGGAAGCTTTTTTCCACTTGATATTTATGTTGTAGCATTTAAAATTAATTTTGTTCAGTTTTATAATATGAGATCATGCTTTTCTACTATTTATTGCTATTTGTGAATTATAGTATAAATTTGTCATCTATGAATTCAATTTACTGTTGTATACATAGCCTTATGTTTGATTTTTGTTACTATATCTTTCATAGATTCTTTTCATGTAGTTTTGAAAAGCTAGATGCATATTATAAACTTATGTATACTTGTATATATACTTATAAAGCTATGTACAAATTAGTAACATATATATGTAATAAAATTGTGTATTGGAATATTTCATTAGGTTATTTCAGCCACAAAACATGTATCATCATGCTTAAGAACCTATAGGAAGTGAGATTCTGTGTTAGGGAAGAATTACTTTAGACAAGAACAGGACACTTATAATAGTTCTTTAAGAAATCATATTCTTCCTCTACAGCTGTCTTTCCATTCAAAACTTATATTTAAAATTTCCTGCTCTAGGAGTTCATCTAGGATTGCATTTGGTACTAATATTGTTAGGCTTTGTGTCCCCACTCAAATCCACATTGAATTGTAATCCCCAGGTGTTGTGGAAGAGACCTGGTGGGAAGTGATTGGATTATGGGGGTGGTTTCCCCATTCTGTTCTCATGACAGTGAGTGGATTCTCACAAGATCTGATGTTTTTATGACTGGTAGTTTTTTCTACACTTGCACAAGCTCTCTTGCCTGCCACCCTGTAAGACGTGTCTTTGCTTCTCCCTCACCTTCTGCCACGATTGTAAGTTTCCTGAGGCCTCTCCAGCAATGCAGAACCATGCGTTCATTAGACCTCTTTTCTTTATAAATTATCCAGCCTGGGGTATTTTTCTTCATAGCAGTGTGAGAATGGACTAATACAGGTACAGTCAAATTAGTGACTGTTATTCCCTCTATCCAAGTCCTCTGCTTTTTCTGTATCAAGAAACTAGTATCAGTTTTTATTTGGAGGAAATGAATTGATGTGGTAAATAAATGTTTGCCACATCAATATGAGAAAAATATTCCATCGTATAGCTTTCATATGTTTTATTTTCTAAAATGCATGAAAGTATCATCTGCTCAATGATACTAGACTGCATACATAACTAAGTAAAATATTATATGGGGCAGAGGTACATTATGCAAGGATATTCTCATGTTACTAGTTGGGCAGAGGATGTATACTTTTATCTTGTTGAAAATTGCAGATAATGTCATTTAATTCAAATGAAAATTATATGCTTTTTAAATTTTAATCTGGTTTGGTTTTGAAATGATATATCAAAATTTTAATATCTAATTTACCAGTTGTTTTCCATTACCAATCTCCTGGTGTGTACTTCATGACATAAACAAATATATTACTATTCTACAGCAAAAAAAAAAAAAAAAAAAAACTCCATGAAATAAGTCTCATTGATTTTTATTTATGTATTTGTGTTTTTATATACGTACACAAAAGTGATATGACCGAGAGTTAAGTCCTGCTTCAAGGTAATTGGAAACCTTGATAGCTACTCAGACTCACATGCTAGAACCATTCTCATGATCATCCTATTCAAGCCTCACTCAAATCTAACTGTTAATTGAAATCAAACGACAATAGATAGCTGGTAAAAAGGTGGGGTTATGAGTACAGTGAGCATGATTGTGGACCTATGTATCCTGCCTATTTTCAAACAAATAGAGTGAGAGGTATTCCAATTTTTTAGTTTGAAAATGCAAAATCATCCTTTAAAAATAAAAAGTTTATTCCATTTGCAACAACATGGATGAACCTGGAGAGCACTATGCTCAGTGAAATAAGCCTCTCAGAAAGACTAATACTCCATGAGTCCACTTATGTGAGGACCTGTAACATTTAGCCTCTAGAAGTAGAGAATGAAAGTTATTGCCAAGGGTAGGGGATGGGGGAAATGGAGATAGGGAAATTGTTTTCCAATGAGTATACAGTTTCAGTTATGCTAGATGAATAAGAGCTCTACTGTGCAACATAGTGGCTATAGGTATTGTGCACTTCAAAATTTGCTAAGAGGGTAAATCTCATGTTGTGTTCTTATAAAAAAAAAACAAAAAAAAAAAGCAAAGGGATGCAACGGAACTTTGGAAGGTGATAGATACGTCTATTACCTTGATTGTGGTAATGGTATCATGGATATTTGTATATGTCAAAGCTCATCAACTTGTACATATTAAGTATGTGCAATTCTTTGTATATTATACTCCCAATAAAGCTGTTTTTTTAAAAAAAGAAAAAATAATCAAACTTAATTTGGGGTAAGACATTTGTATTAGTCCGTTTTCACATTGCTATAAAGAATACTACCTGAGAGTGGGTAATTATAAAAGAAAGAGGCTTAATTGACTCACAGTTCTGCATGGCTGGGGATGCCTCAGGAAACTTACAATTATAGCAGAAAGTGAAGGGGAAACAAGAACCTTCTTCACATGGTGGCAGGAGAGAGAAGAGTGAAGGAGGAACTTCCAAACACTAATAAAGCCATCAGAGCTCTTGAGAACTCACTCACTATCATGAGAACAGCATGGGGGAAACCACCCCCATGATCCAATCACCTCCGTCCCTCGACACTTGGGGATTACAATTCGAGTTGTAAGATGTGGGTGGGGAAACAGAACCAAACCATATCAACATTCAAAATGCCAGTTCACGTAGCTGTAATATTTCTCTTTTGTCCTTTTCAAAGGTCATCTTTTTTAGGAAACTATAGATTAACTTTTATTTTGGAATAATTATATTAATATGGCAATACAAGTTCTAGTGACTTGTGTTTGATTTATTCTTATGATTTATATATTCTTTGTAAGCACTCTACAATATTTCTTATGTGAGAATTACCTTTATCACATGTCAAACACATCTGAGGGAAAAATAAATTCCATTTTGTTTTTATTATCTGCAGGAAGCACCTAATGCAAACATGTTCTTTTTTTTCCATTTTACAAAATGATTTACAAAAAAGTTGTTTTAAATAATGTTATTGTTGTGTGTGGCAACCGTGATTTGGAGTATAAGTAATTTATACACTGTTACCCAAAAGACTGTTTTGTAAAGCAAAGTGAAACTGTATGTTTCTCTTACTTACAAAAATAATTATGAAATTTTTTATGTCATGCAAGTCACTCTCTCTCATGAGTAAATAGTTGTTATTTAAATAACAATTAACCCACAAGGTTAGCACATCTTTGAAAATAAATTATTTCTTCTCTAGGACCAAAAGGTACATAAGTGCATGGTGAAGAAGTGTTTTCATTTGCAAAAGTTCTATCGCTAGAAAAATAAATTCAAGCAACATATTGTTAATTTCTTTTCTTTAACTTAGGTCATCCCACCTTTTCCTATCCCATGCTGTCATTCTTTTTTTTTTTTTTTTTGAGACGGAGTCTCGCTCTGTCGCCCAGGCTGGAGTGCAGTGGCACCATCTCGGCTCACTGCAAGCTCCGCCTCCCGGGTTCACACCATTCTCCTGCCTCAGCCTCCCAGGTAGCTGGGACTACAGGCGCCCGCCATTACGCCCGGCTAATTTTTTGTATTTTTAGTAGAGACGGGGTTTCACCGTTTTAGCCGGGATGGTCTCGATCTCCTGACCTCGTGATCCGCCCGCCTCGGCCTCCCAAAGTGCTGGGATTACAGGCGTGAGCCACTGCGCCCGGCCCATGCTGTCATTCTTACATTTTGGAATGTTTCTTTTTGAATTCTTTGCTCACTAATAAAATTCCTTAGAACCCTAGCACTACTATGAAAAAGCTCTCCAATACCACTACCTACTCCTGATATTTCTGTGTTGTCATTGACATTTGGTTCTTCTCCCAAAAGCTATTTCTCTTATTCTTCAATTCAAAGCTGCTCCTTCTCTCACAGTTTGAGGAGGTGGGTAGGATCAAGGTCTGTATTCTCTAAGTTTCTTATTTTTTTTCTGACTGTTACTTCTTCTCTTTCATATAAAATATCTTGCACTTTGAGGTCATTTTCTTACCACAAAAATTCTCTACATCTTCTTATTTTGCTCATATGCTTATTTTCCAGGCATGTTCCTAACTGCATATTGGGTGCCCATACCAGTTTCTTCTCTCCAGTATCAAATATGGCCATCACCCAGGCATCTATGTTGATGATGCAACCTTCCCACTGACCATCATGCTGCCACAATCAATATTAGGTAGATTATCTTGCCTCCCCACACTAACCTCAGACCTCCTTGACCTCCACTCCTTTTTTATTCTTTTTAAAATTATTGTTGATCATCAACCTAATACAAGACATTGTGGCATAATCCAGATATCAAAAATTCAATTGTGTATCAGGTCAAGTCTCAATTCCCCACCTTCAAATCATTCACCTTATAAAGAGAGAAACACATACACCAGATAATTAGAATACAATGTAGTAAGTGCAACAGTTAATATGAAAGTTACAAAGGTAGTGCAGATGTTATGATCACATCATGAAGATTACCTACATGTCTACTCTAAGACTATATCCCACCTTCATAGTCTTTTGTTTGGTATTGGAGTATGCTCTTTGCCATTCTCCCATTACTTCTCTCATTCCAATTTATTTTATAAATGTATAATTTATAGACAGTTAACACTCTCTTTTTTAGCATATAATTACTTGACTTTTTGCAAACACATATAATCATGCAACTATAGACACAGGCAAGATATAAAACAATTCTGTCACCTCCCAAATCCTCCCATTCCTTTTTATAAACAACACATCACGGACTCCAGCTTCTGGTAACCATAAATTTGTTTCCATCTTTATAGTTTTTTTCTTTTCCCTAATGTAATAATACAAGTAAAATCATATGATATGTGTCTTTTTTCTCTACATCTTTTTCATTTCTTTGGCTTCAAAGATACTTTCAGTTTCTTAACTGCCCACTTTCCGTAAGTCTTTCAGTTCCTTGTAACTGTACTTATGTCCCTATAGAGCCAGACCTCTATGTCTGTAAAGGGCTAGAACAGTAAGCCAGAGGAAAAAAATTTGCAATTTATTTCTGGGACTTCCAACTTCATAACACATTTATCCTCTAGCCACATCTCCAGGGAATACTCCAAAACAGCATCCAGTATTTTCTATACATACGGTTCAGAAAATCTGGAGAAAACTCCACACTCACACACTCTGATGTTGTTTAAAATTAATAGCAATCTTACTTTTCTCTTACTTTATTTGTTATGGTTACTGCCATCTCCTATTTCCTTCAGGAACTGTTTTAAACATTCATCTTTCCTTCATTAATTTACCCACACTCCCTTCATGCTTGGCAGACAGTCTCACCTTCTGTTCCACAGAAGAAACATAAAGCATTAGATAAGTTCATCTAATGCCATTCTCTGTATTTCCAACCACTCTTCTATCTTACTTCAGTCTATAATCAAGTTCAAATATTTAAAGTATTGTTAAAAATTAGGTCCACTCATGAAACTGTTGCTAAATGCAAGGAAGTTATTATTGCCCCTGACCAGAAAAGTTCTGGTACAGAGATACAGGTGGAAGCCTGATTTCAATAGGCAGAGTGAATGGGTAGCCTTTCCCACTCCTTATTTTTCATTTCTTTACATCTAATATAGAATGAATGATCAACAACTTCTCTTTAACCAACAACTTATCCTTACTTCCATGTTGGCTGTAATATCCCTAAACTTGGAAGTTAAAAATTATATGAACACATTTATCTGTCTTTGCGTTGGAGTAGTTTTCTTAAGTCACAGTGCACCTAGTTCAGGGTTTCTCAACAGAAGAACAATTGACATTTTGGGCTGCATAATTCTTCATGTGTGGGGCTTTTTAAATATGGTGAAACAAAGCCACAGAAAGGCTAAAGAACTTTCCCTAGCTTCTGGAAACCTTTAGTCACATTTAGTAAGAGGTGGCATGGTGATTTGAAGAGATGATTTTTATGTGTACAGTAAATTTATAAGCAGTTGGTTCCACTATTCCACCTGATTCTCCTATTTTACTGTAGTTTGAATACTTCCATTGAAAAATGTATTTTAAATGTCTGGCCAGAATGAGTCTCGGAGATGGCTCGTGATTGATAGGGCCATGACAGAGATTAGGATCAGAGTGCAGTCTGAGGTTGTATTCCATAGAAGCACAGTCTCTCCTCTCCACCAACCAACTTCACATGCCAGTTATGTAACTCATAACAGCTTAGTGACATGGTCCATACTCTTTTTCAAAATATAAGCAAATTAATATTAGTAAAGTAGTTGCTAAGAGACTCCCATTTGGCCTATGTGTCTGTTTTTGTACCACTATCATGTTGTTTTGGTTAATGTAGCCTTGTAATATAGTTTGAAGTTGGGTAGTATGATGCCTCCAGTATTTTTCTTTTTGCTTAGTATTGCTTTTGCTATTTGGGCTCTTTCTTGATTTCAAATGAAGTTTAGAATATTTTTTCTAATTCTGTGAAAAACAATATTGGTAGTTTGATAGGAATAGCATTGAACGTGTAGATTGCTTTGGAGAGTATGGTCATTTTAACAATATAAATTCTTCCAATCCATGAGCATGGGTTTTTTTCCCCATTTATTTGTATCCTCTATGATTTCTTTCTTCAGTATTTTGTAGTTTTCCTCAAAGAAATCATTCACTGCTTTGGTTACGTGGATTCCAACATACTTTATTCTTTTTGTGGCTATTGTGAATCGGATTGTATTATTGATTTGGCATTCAGCTTCAATGTTATTGGTATATAGAAATACTACTGATTTGTACATTGATTTTGTATCCTGAAACTTTACTGAAGTTTTTATCAGCTCTACAAGCCTTTTGGCAAAGTCATTAAGGTTTTCTAGGTATAGAATCGTATTGTCAGCAAGGAGATAATTTGACTTCCTCTTTTCCTATTTTGTTGCTTTTTATTTCTTTCTCTTGCCTGATTGTTCTGACTAGGATTTCCAGCACTATGTTGAATAGGAATGGTGAGAGTTGGCATCCTTGGCCTGTTCCAGTTCTTAAGTGTAACACTTCCAGCTTTTGCCAATTCAGTATAATGTTGGCTGTGGGTTTGTCATAGTGGGCTCTTATTATCTTGAGGTATGTTTCTTCCATGCCTAGTATGTTGAGGATTTTTTTCATGAAGGGATGTTGGATTTTATCAAAACATTTTTTCTGCATTCATTGAGATGATTAAATGGTTTTGTTTTTAATTGTTTATGCGGCAAGTCATGTTTATTGATTTGCATATGTTGAACCAACCTTGCGTACTGGTAGTGAAGCCTGCATGATAGTGGTGAATTAGCTTTTTGATGTGCTGCTGGATTCCATCTGCTAGTATTTTATTGAGAAATTTTGCATCTATGTTCATCAGGGATATTTGTCTGTAATTTTCTCTTTTGTTGTTGTGTCTTTACTAGATTTTGGTATCAGAGTGATGCTGGCTTCGTAGAATGAGTTAGGGAGGAGTCCTCTTCCCCATTTTTAAAAAATATTTCAGTAGGATTGGTACCAGCTTTTCTTTGTACATCTGGTAGAATTTGGCTATGAATCCACCTGTTTCAGGGCCCTTTTTATTTGGTAGGTTTGTTTTTCAATTTCAGAACTCTATATTGATCTCTCCAGGGTTTTGATTTCTTCCTGGCTCAATCTTGGGGTGTTGTGACCTTCCAGGAATTTATTCATTTCCTCTAGAGTTTCTAGTTTGTGTGCATAGTGGTGTTCATAATAGTCTCTGAGGATTTTTTATATATCCGTGGGATTGGTTGTTATTTCACTTTTGCCATTTCTGATTGCACTTATTTAGATCTTCTCTTTCTTTGTTGTTAATTTAGCTGGTGTCCTATTGATCTGGTTGACAAGAACCAGCTTTCGGTTATTACTTTGCATGTATTTTTGAGTCTCAATTTCATTCAGTTCTCTAATGAATTTTGGTTATTTATTGTCTTCTAGCTTTGGGACTAGTTCTTGTTTTTCTAGTTCTCTAGGTGTGATGTTAGATTGTTAATTTGAGATCTTTCTAATTTTTTGATGTAGGTATTTAGTGATGTAAGCTTTCCTAACACTGCTTTAGCTGTATTCCAGAGATTTTAAAATATTGTGTCTCCATGCACACGTATGTTTATAGCAGCACTACTCACAATAGCAAAGACTTGGAACCAACCCAAATGTCCATCAGTGATAGACTGGATTAAGAAAATGTGGCATTTATATACAAAGGAATACTATGCAGCCATAAAAAATGATGAGTTCATGTCCTTTGTAGGGACATGGATGAAGCTGGAAACCATCATTCTCAGCAAACTATTGCAAGGACAAAAAAACCAAACACCACATGTTCTCACTCATAGGTGGGAATTGAACAATGAGAACACTTGGACACAGCAAGGGGAACATCACACACCGGGGCCTGTCGTGGGGTGGGCGGAGGAGGCAGGGATAGCATTAGGAGATATACCTAATGTAAATGACGAGTTAATGGGTGCAGCACACCAACATGGCACATGTATACATATGTAGCAAACTTGCACGTTGTGCACATGTACCCTAGAACTTAAAGTATAATAAAATATGTATATAAAAAAGTAAAAATAAAAAATAAAATATTGTATCTCTGTTTTTATTTATTTTAAATAATTTTCTAAATTTTTGCCTTAATTTTATTGTTTACCCAAAAGTTACTCAGAATAAAGTTATTTAATTTCCATGTAATTTTGTGGTTTTGAGAGAACTTACCGGTATTGATTTGTATTTTTATTCCACCATGGCCCAAAGTATAGTTTGTATGATTTTGAATTTTTTAACTTTATTGAGACTTGCCTGATGTCCAAGCATGTGGTCAATCTTAGCATATGTTCCATATGCAAATGAGAAGAATGTATATCCTATGGTTGCTGGGTGGAGTGTTCTGTAGATGTCTATTATGTCCAATTGGTCAAATGTCGAATTTAACTCCAGGATTTCTTTGTTAGTTTTCTGCCTTGATGATCTAACTCTGTCAATGGGATGTTGAAGTCACCCACTCCCATGGTGTGGCTAAGTATTTTTGTAGGTCTAGCAGTACTTGTTTTATGAATCTAGGTGCTCCAATTTTATTTGCATATATATTCAGGATAGTTAAGCCATGTGGTTGGATCAAACCCTTTATCATTGCATAGAGCCCTTCTTTATCCTTTTTTGACTACTGTTGTTTTAAAGTCTATTTTATCTGAAATAATAATTGTAACCCCTGCTCTTTTTTGTCTTCTGTTTGGGTGATAGATCTTTCTCCTACCCTTTACCTTGAGTCTATCAGTGTCATCACGTGTAAGATGGGTCTCTTGAAGACAGCAGATGGGTGAGTCTTGTTTTTTATCCAACTTGCCACTCTGTGCCTTTGAAGTAGGGTGTTAAGACCATTCACATTCAAGGTTAATATTAATATGTGAGATTTTGATCATATCGTAAAGTTGTTAGCTGGTTGCTTTGTAGTTTCTATTGTGTGGTTGCCATATAGGGTCTGTGGACTATGTAGTTAAGTGTGTTTTTGTAGTAGCAGTTATTATTCTTTCCATGTTTAGAAATCCATTATGGATCTCTTGTAAGGCTGGTTTAGTGGTAATGACTTCCCTTAGCTATTGCTTATCTGAAAAATATTTTAGTTCTTGTTAACTTATGAAGCTTGGTTTGGTGTTGTATGAAATTCTTGGTTGGAGTCTCTTCCTTAAAAAATGCTGAATGTAAGTCCCCCATAAGATTTCTGCTGAGAAGGCCCCCAATAAGTTTATAATGTTTCCTCTGTTTGCTGTTAGCCTGATGGGATTCCCTTTGTATGGGATCTAACCTTTTTTTCTAGCTGCCTTTAAAGTTTTTTCTTTAGCATTGACCTTGGGCATTCTGGTCACTATATACCTTGGTGATGTTTATTTTATATAGGATCTGGCAGGTCTTCTCTGGATTTATTATATCTGTATGTCTACTTCCCTAGCAAGATAAAGGAAAATTTCTCAAATTATTCCCTCAAATATGTTTTCCATGTTTTTTACTTTTTCTTTTTCTCTCTCATTAATGCCAGTCATTCACAGGTTTTGCCATTTTACACAACCCATGTGTCTTGGAGACTTTGTGCCAAGAATTTTAAGAATTTTTAAATTTCTTTTTTCTTTGTTTTTGTCTGACTGGGTAAGTTTGAAAGACCAATCTTCAAACTCTGAAATTCTTTCTTCTGTTTGGTCTAGTCTATTGGGAAAGCATTCAATTGTATTTTGAAATTCCTTAAGTGAGTTTTATAGTTTTCATTGCTCTGAATGATTTCTTTTTAAGATGTTTGCATCTTCTTTTATTTCCTGGATTGCTTTACAGGTTTCTTTGTACTGATTTTTAACCTTATTTTGGATCTCATTGAGTTTCCCTGTAATCCATACTTTGAATTCCTCCTCTGTCATCCTCCTGCCTCCATTTTGGTTAAGAACCATTGCTGGAAACCTAGAGTCAGCCTTTGATGATGTCATTCCATTCAGATTTTTAATGGTGGCAGAATTCTTGTGCTGGTTCCTTCTCATCTGGAGAGTGTTGTACTAGGTAGGGTCTTTGGGGTTGTTTCTATAGTCCTATGCACTTCTGTCAGCAGGTTTTGTGTTGGGCTGTGTGGTTTGACCTATGACTCAGGATATGGCATTTGCAGGTAAGAGTCAGCTGCCACACAAGTAGGTGGGAGGGGAGCTGACCTTTATTTACTGTGAGGTGCTCTCTGTTGTTTCAGGTGAAGGACTGGACAGTGGGGTGGGTGTCCAGTGTTCTGAGCTTCCTAATTTGTGAGGGTGGTGGGATATACCTGGGCAGAGCTGGAAACGTGGCTTTCCCACGAATATCTCAATGACAGGTGCAGGCACCAGCCCTGATGGGTGTGGCTAGGAGAAGCTCCTGATAAAATGTGCTGAGGTCTTCGTGAGCCCCCTCACTTCCTTGGTGAATCTTGACATGCTCTCTTAGAGAATTCACCTGAAGAGCTACTATTTACTTGCCACTTTCTTTCCTCTCTTTGAGAGTAGCATACTCTAGCTGCTTCCAGTCAGCCATCTTGAACCTCCATAACCATTTTGAAGATGCAAATTGTGGTAGCAGCTGCAGTCAAGAGATATTAAAAATAAGTTATGGCCGGGTGCGGTGGCTCACGCCTGTAATCCCAGCATGTTGGGAGGCTGAGGCAGACAGATCACAAGGTCAGGAGATAGAGACCATCCTGGCCAACATGGTGAAACACATCTCTACTAAAAATTCAAAAATTAGCTGGGTGTGGTGGTGCGCGGTCCTGTAGTCCCAGCTACTCAGGAGGCTGAGGCAGGAGAATCACTTGAACCCGGGAGGCAGAGGCTGCAGTGAGCTGAGATTGCACCACTGCACTCTAGGCTGGTGACAGAGTGAGACTCCATCTCAACAAAAAAAAGGGATTCATTTATTCATTATCTTTTCTTTAGAATTAAGTTTAAGTTTTAAATACAGTATAAGAAATAGCTTTGGAAATAACTAAGGGTTCTACCCTAATTAAAATACATATAATTTAACTGGGTATGATGGCACATGCCAGCAGTCCTAGCTCCTCAGTATGCTGAGGTGGGAGGATGAGCCCAGGAGCCTGAGGCTATAGTGAACCATGATCACACCTGTGAATCACCACGGCACTCCAGCCTGGGCAACATAGCAAGACTGTCTTTAAACAAACAAAACAAAATACACATCAGTATATGAGTGTTGACGAGTCACTTGGTAATGAGTCTCATATTTCTGCATTTTTCTTTTTCATCTGTGAGTTCTAGAAAGAAGTAGGAAAAACCACTATATCAAACAGCCTCTTTGGACTTTATTCTAAACCACGTAAAATCTCACCAGATTTCTTTGTGTGTCTCAGTAATTGATCTTAGAAATTATATCTGGAGGTGCAGGTTGAGGTATCCAAAGAGGAAAGAGTGGCAATATTTTGGGAGTTTCCAGTCAACAATAAAGGACCAAGAGTGTCCAGCACAGGAGTGGCCTCAGTGATTGAAGTAAGTGAATTCAGCTATAATTGAAGCTGGTAAGAGGGCCTTTTAAAAATTAAAAGTTGATACAGTACAAGAAAGTAAGTTACTGCTGCTTACCATTCAGAGACTTACGGGTGCTTGCCTGCATTATAATAAAAGAACTTAATTATTGAGCAAGACCTATATTTATCTCTTCACTTTGGACAGCCTAATAAACTATTATTACAGTTTCTCTATTGACTTTCAAACGTTTTGAAGTTTGAAAGACACCTTTGCAATTAACACAGCATGAGCACAACCAGAACAGAGAACGCTGTTATAATGGGTCTGTCCAGTCAAAATGGTCAGCTGAGGGGTCCCCTGAAACCCAGTGGTGGCCCTAGAGGAGAGGCCACACAGACACAGCAACAGACGAACCAGCTGAAAAACACCAACACAATAATAGCACTCAACCACAAGCGCAGAGTATGACCACCACTATTAAGCCTGGTGATAATTGGAAGAAGACTTTAAAACTCCTTCCAAAGGATCTAAGAATCAAAATGTTGGATGTGACCTCTACAAGAGGATATTAATTTGAAGATTACTGTTTGAAACGGCAGTTACTGATGAGAATTTTTGAAATGGGATGGAAAAAGCCATCTCCTTTCCAAGAAGAGAGCATTCCCATTGCTTTATCTGGTAGGGATATCTTAGCTAGAGCAAAAAATGGAACAGGCAAGAGCAGTGCCCATGACATTCCCCTACTTAAAAGGCTAGACCTGAAGAAGGACACTATACAAACAATAGTGATTGTTCCCACAGGAGGACCTGCTCTACAGGTCAGTCAAATTTGCATCCAGGTCAGCAAACACATGGGAGGAGTCAAAGTGGTGATGACCACAGGAGGAACCAATTCAGGAGATGACGTACTGAGGCTGGATGATACAGTGCACATGGTGATTGCTGCCCCTGGGAGAATCCTGAATCTTATTAAGAAAGGAGTAGCAAAGGTCAGTCATGTCCAGGTGATAGTATTGGATGAGGCAGATAAGTTTCTGTCCCAGGATTTTGGGCAGTTAATGGAAGATATTATTCTCATGCTACCTGAAGACAGGCAGATTTTACTACATTCTGCTACTTTCCCTCTTAGTATACAGAAGTTCATGAATTCCCATTTGCAGAAACCCTGAGACTAACCTGATGGAAAAACTAACTCTGAAGGACATAACCCAGTACTACGCATATGTAACTGAGCACCAAAAAGTACACGGCCTCACCACACTTTTCTCCAGGCTTCAGCTAAACCAGATGATCATTTTCTTTAACTGCTCTCAGCGAGTTGAATGGCCAGCCAAAATTTCTCAACTGGGTTATTTTTGTTTCTACATTCATGCTAAAATGAGGCAGGAACATCAAAATTGTGTATTTTATTATTTCTGAAATGGCTTATTCTCATTTGCACTGATCTGTTTACTTGAGGTATTGATATACAAGCTGTGAATGTGGTAATAAACTTTGACTTTTCAAAGCTAGAAGAGACCTATCTCCGTCATATTGGAAGACCAGGTCACTTTGGCCATTTTGGCTTAGCCATCAACTTGATCACATATGGCGATCACTTCAACCTGAAAGGTATTGAGGAGCAGCTGGGAAAAGAAATAAAACCTATTCCAAGCAACATTGACAAGAGCCTGCATGTGGCAGAATTCCACAGCAAGGCTGTAGAAAATGAGAAGCCTTAATAAGCACTCTTTGACAAACTGTGGAAGCCTTGTTTGGATCTATGACATACCATTTTTTAGAGAGGAGTGCTCTTCTCTTTGTGAGTTTTTCATCTTTTATTTCAGAACTATGAAGACTTAAAAGAGTTCAGAATTTTTTTTTTCCTTTTTTAACTGGTGAAGAGAAAAAAGCTGAAAAGAAGGAATATTCCTTTTTTTTTGTTCCATCTGTTTGCACTGTATGCTAAGTGAACATTAGTTGCACTAACTGCTGGTTTTAAAAAAATGTTTTCTGGGGAAAGGGGACAGGAAAGGAAAAGAAAGAAGGGGAGAAACCCTAAAAAGAGAAGAATCTTAATGAACACAAAAGCTTGTCTATTATTTCAAAATTCTCCAACATCTGACTCTCGAGGACATTTCAACTTCTCCCTAGTCATCCATTTTTTTTTTAAGCCTGAGGAGCTTATTACTCATTTGTGTGAAGTGCTGTATGCTCTGAGTTATTCAGAATATCATCTTTTAGACACAGACCAAAGAATCAACAGTAGTACTCTTTCTTTCCTTTATTCTTTAAAAAATTTTTGTCTTTTAATTTTGGTTTTAGGGTGAAGTCTCTGTTTTCTTTCTACCCAATACTGAAGCCCAGAGCTGGTAGATGAAACTTATTAGTCAGTTAAATACCATTTTCTTTTTCTTTATATTGGAGGAGTTGATATGCAGCTGCAGTTCATCCACACTGTAAACACATGTATTAAAAAAATCCCAACAGGGCATGGTGGCTCACGCCTGTAATCCCAGCACTTTGGGAGGCCGAGGCAGATAGATTATCTGAGGTCAGGATCTTGAGACCAGCCTGACCAACACAGTGAAACCCTGTCTTTACTAAGAATACAAAAAAATTAGCCAGGCGTGGTGGCAGGTGCCTGTAATCCCAGCTACTTGGGAGGCTGGGGCAAGAGAATTGCTTGAACCTGGGAGGCGGAAATTGCGGTGAACTGAGATCGTGCCATTGCACTCCAGCCTGGGCAACAGAGCAAGACTCCGTCTCAAAATAATAATAATTCCAAGTAAAAATTTATTCTGGTCTGAGTAGATAAAACATCAATGCTCCCAAAGGAAAAGCAGTCTATCATTGGAGGAGCCTTATGACAAGCCTTTGTGCTCTATAGCAAACACTAAAGACTGGTTTACATACGTCTCCAGTAACAATATGGCACTTGACTTGTAGACATGTCAGAACCTTGACCCTATTTCTTTTGTGGCAGAGTGTGTTGCGTTGAAAATTGAGTGTGTATACTTTTATCAACCTTGTAAATAAGTGTATATGTATATATACATATATATGATAAAGGTTGATGGGATTAAGGGGATTAGAGTGATTATGGGAGCAGCTAAAGATGAAGGGGCTCAGTTTACTCAGCACTAAATTCTAGAAAGCACTTTGGCCTCTTGCTGTAGAGAGCAGGTTTCTATGGTACCCTTGGTTAGGAAAGGGACACAGAAATCTGGGATGTCCTGTTTGCTCCCACGCTGTCTCATCTAGTACCCCTGGAGGAGGCTTACCAGAGAGAGCAACGAAGCGTCAAAAATTGATAATTCAAGATTTTTTTTTTTTGAGAAGCTCTTTTATTTTGCTTCTTCACCCTTTCTAAAAGTTTAAGGAATTTTTCAAGCTCTCCAAAAGAGGGCAAAGATTAATCTACCATGCATCTACCTTGCAGTGTGGGGATTCTGTTGAGTGGTAGTATTGTTGAGCAGTACATGCATAAAGCACAGATTCGCATTTCATAGTATTAGCCAGTACCAGCTTTGGTGATGTTAGGAGTTCTGGAGCTTAATTTTCTATGGATCATCTGTAGTGTGTAAATGTATTGCCTTCTGCCCACCTTGATACATAAACTTTTGCAGGAATGGACAACCCCTGAGAACTGTTTAACTTTCATACCACACAAAGCTGCTTGCCATTCTCTTGTGTTATGACAATAATTGTTATCTGTCATTTTGTACTGTAAATTCCTGGCAAATGCTTTACAGTCAATAATGTTGCTTTAAATTGTTGCCCTCCCAACATGCTTGATGTTTGGCCTAATCTCCAGGCCAAAAGACTGAGATGAATCAAAACCAGTGAACTTTTTTTTAATGTTTTTGAATTCCCTTTTAACCCAGTGTACTAGGTCAATCAGAAGGCATCTGGGAGGAGAAAAAAAAGCAAAAAATAATTTTTAAAAAATTGATTCCCATATTGCATTGATTTTTAAAAACCTAAAATATACACGTTTGTATTTAACTCATATGGACAAAGGGATTAATTATTTGAAGTTGCTTTTTTGACTCTGCCCACTTCTATTTTTTTTCCCAAGACAGAGTCTCACTGTGTCACCCAGGCTGGAATGCAATGGCATGATCTTGGCTCAGTGCAACCTCCGCCTCCCGGGTTCAAGAGATTCTCCCTGTCTCAGTCTCCCAAGTAGCTGGGATTACAGGTGCCCACCTGTAATACACCAGGTGTATGTGACTCACCCACAATTCCTTGGAGATCAAAATCCTACAGATGCCTCCTGATCAGACACAGCCCTAACTCTTCAACAACTGTGGCAAGAGCTGCACAGTACAAACCCAAAAAAGAGCAATCTCATTTATTTGGAATCCAAGTCACGTATGTTCTGTCCAGTCAATGTTGGTTACTAAATACAAACCTTAATTCAGGAAGTAACCTTTTTTTTTTTTTGCATGAAGCGCTGGGAGAGGGAATTTAAACGGTATCAACTTTTGACCAAAAAGTCTTGTTCTTGTACTGACGCAGCATTCTTTCTCCTACACCTCCTGCAAGAGGGATCATTAATATAGAAGAAATGCAAGGAAAGAGTGTAAATGTAATTCTGTATCTCGCTAAAAAACATGTGAGTGACCAATCAAAAGTTCAGTCTTCTTTTCCAGTCTTACACTGCTCTGCCTGGTGCTGAGTTCCTGTGGGTCCCTCTTAAAGTACAGACTTAAAATTGGAAGTATTGCTGAAGTATAACATCTAATGACGAGTGGCACTTAAACTATCTGGGACACCACTATTGGACACAGTGTTACAGAGGCAGCTGTCCAGCTTGTTGCTTGGTTCTTGAATATAAATCATGAAATGGAAATATGCTCTAAGGACTTGGTCAAAGCCTGGTCTTTTTTTTTGTCCCTCATATTAAGGAGGATTGTTACTACTGGAAAGTGTTTTCAGATTATTTCCAATATTGGAATGTATTTTTTAAAGTAATGGTAATATTTTTTCCAGTGGTTCATTTGGATGATAACTAGTTCCTATTTTTAATATTAAAACTATATTCAACTCATGGTTTAGCCTTTGGTTGCATCGTTGTGTAATGGGTTATGGACTGTCACACACCTTCCCACCTCTGGGCCTGTGTGTTTTCTCTCCCCGTATGTTCTGACGGGATGGAAACTTTTTTGTCTTTCCCTTAGGAAAGGAATAAAGTTATTCTAAAATGATCTTTTACTGAAGTAAGGGAGAGGGAAACCTAAATATACCTCTAAATTATTTCAAGTTGGTCCCAGTATCATAAGATGGGTTGGCCTGAAATGGTAAGAGGGTGGGGTTGGTTATCAGTATTTGTTTTCAGAATGAGGCGGGAGTGTCTTTCGTTTGCCACGTGCTTTGTGCTTGACACCTTCATGCTTGATTAGAACAAGACAACTCAGCATAAAGCCTTGAGTGTAAATTGTTAAGAGTCAAAATATCTCATTCTGATAACTTAGTTTAACTGTTTTCTTTTTAATAGGGATGGGAGAAACCGTACTTTGCCCCCAAAGGGAGAGTGTCTGCACTAAAAATGTAGAAACTCTTTGGAAGCTCATAACCTTATCAGACACTGCCTTTACCACACTCCTGACCTTCTAGATTAGTAACAAAAGAGATGAAATAAGTTCTTGGGAATTAAGCTATATTATCTTAATTTGAGAATTTTTTTCAATGTTCTAGGTATCTTTAAATGTGTTATTGTGGAATTATTTTCTTGCCAAATACCTTCGTCAAGCAAAAATTACTGGTCTCATGAGAGCTGAAGTAACTCAGCTCTTTGGCGAACTTCAGTGGACTTTGGTGAGCTCATAGCTCTACTTTACGTCTTTAAAAACAGTTTTTTTTAAAACTCTCAAATCTACTCTCAGATACTTTTAAACATATTGTTTCCTTAGAAGATTCAGGACTTTTTTTATTTTACGTCTTTCATACTGGAAGTCTGGACTATATGATAAAAATATTTCAATTTCGTACTCTTCTAACACCTGGAATTTGGAGCCCTTAAAATTTTCATATAGAAGGGAAATAGTTTAGTAAGTTATGGGGTTTTGTCATCCTTAGCATTGGTTCTCAAATTTTAGCAGACATTTGAGTTGCCTGAAGATCTTGTTAAAACATAAGGACCTAAGTCTAAGCCTCAAACTCATGAATTCTGATTCAGTAGGTCTGGAATGGCACTCATGAATTTGAATGCCTAACAAGCACCCAGGTACTGCTGCTGCTAGTCCAAGAGCCAAACTTGGAGAATCAATGCACTCTAAATCACATATTTCCAAAAAAGAAACAGGAACATTTAACCCTTTAAAAATTAATGGATCTCTAATGCCAGACCTCCTGGAAAACTAGAAGTCAGTACTTAACATTTTTTTATGCTACAAATTTGAGCCTTTGTGTCAAAATTAGATTTAGAACAGCTATTTTGGTCATAAATTATGATCTCTAACAATCAGAAATATCTACTGAAATATTCAAAAACAAATCTAGCAACAATATCTGCAAATCTCATATGATAGCTAAATCCATTAATATGTATATTAAAATTTTTGCAACAACTTTGTAAGTACTTAGAAATAAAGGTAAGTCCATAATGTTGTTTTATATTTTGGAGTTGTCTCACCATCTTGTATACACATTTTAGTATTTTTAATAATAATATAATTGTTACAAAAATTCCTCTGAAGCTATGTGGATATACATTATTTTTTTAAAGGCTACATAGCATTCTGCTCAGATAACAATTCACAATTTGCAGAAAAATTTTCTTTATTTATTTAACAAATATTTATTGATTGCCTATTGTATACCAGTCACTTTTCCAGTTTTTCATTATTATAAGCAGCATTAGTCAATGTTTTCTGTAATCATTATCACATTCAACAAACCAGGTTAAATAGCTCTATTAATATTTTTTCTTAATTATGAATAACATAACAACTAAGTGATAGCATAAGCGTATTTATAAATATTGCATTTTCTGCAGTTGGTTTTTTCCTTAAAATTAAAGAATATAAGATTATTCAGTTTAAGTTTATTTCTAAAACTGTATGCATTTAAATATTGATAAATTCCTCTCTAAAATTATTGTAAAATATTATATTGCTTCCAGTATTGTTCTCCCTCAGTCTAGCCAACATGAGGAATTTATCATTTGTTATTTTTTATACTTAATAATAGAAGGCATACTGTATCATATATAAGTACATAACAACTACAGTCAGATTGCTTGGGTTTAATTCTAGTGCTACCATTTATCCTTTGTGAGGTGACTTTAGTCGCTTAATCTTTCTGCATCTGTAAAATGAGCATATTGAATAAATAATTCTGTAAAGTGCTTAGCAGAGTGACTCAAAAATGGACACTTAATGGTGCTACATATTATGTCCATTAATGTTTTGTTTAAAATTTTATTACAAAGAAATCATAGACAAGACAAACAAATGGGAACACATCCTATGCTCATGGATGGGTAGAATCAATATTTTGAAAATGACCATACTGCCAAAAGCAATCTACAGATTCAATGCAATTCCCATCAAAATACCCCCACCATTCTTCACAGAATTAGAAAAACAATTTTAAAATTGATATGGAACCTAAAAAGAGCCTGCATATTCAAAGCAAGACTCAGCAAACAGAACAAATCTGGAGGCATCACATTATCCAACTTCAAACTATACTGTAAGGCCATAGTCACCAAAACAGCACAGTACTGGTCTAAAAATAGGCACATAGACTAATGGAACAGAATAAATAACCCAAAAATAAAACCAAATACTTAACAGCCAACTGATCTTTGACAAAGCAAAGAAAAACAGGAAGTGGGGAAAGGACACCCTGTTCAACAAATGGTGCTGGGATAATTGGCAAGCCACATATAGGAGAATGAAACTGGATCATCATCTCTCACCTTATACAAAAATCAACTGAAAATGAGTCAAATACTTAAATCTAAGACCTGAAACCATAAAAACTCATGACATCAGAAAAACCCTTCTAGATATTGGCTTAGGCAACGATTTCATGACCAAGAACCCAAAAGCAAATGCAACAAAAACAAGGATAAATAGATAGGACTAAAAAGCTTCTGCACAGCAAATGAAATAATCAGCAGAGTTAACAGACAACTTACAGAGTGGGAGAAAATATTCACAATCTATACATCTGACAAAGGACTAATATCCAGAATCTACGAAGAACCCAAACAAATCAGCAAGAAGAAAACAAAGAATCCTATCAAAAATTGGGCTAAGGACAGGAATAGACAACTCTCAAAAGAAGATATACAAATGGCCGACAAGCATATGGAAAAATGCTCAACATCACTAATGATCAGGGAAATGTAAATCAAAACCACAGTGTGATACCACGTTACTCTTGCAAGAATGGCCATAATCAAAAATTCAAAAAATAATAGATGTTGGCGTGGATGTGGTGAAAAGGGAACACTTTTACACTGTTGGTGGGAATGTAAACTAGTATAACCATTATGGAAAACAATGTGGAGATTCCTTAAAGAACTAAAGGTAGAACTACCAGTTGATCCAGCAATCCCACTACTAGGTATCTATCCAGAGGAAAAGAAGTCATTATATGAAAAAGATTCCTTGCACACACATGTTTATAGCAGCACAATTTGCAACTGCAAAAATATGTAACCAGTCCAAATGCCCATCAATCAATGAGTGGATAAAGAACATATGGGAGATGTATACGTATACACCATGGAGTACTATTCAGCCATTAAAAGGAACAAAATAATGGCATTCACAGCAACTGAGATGGAATTGGAGACCATTATTCTAAGTGCAGTAACTCAGGAATGGAAAACCAAACATCACATGTTCTCATTCATAAGTGGGAGCTAAGCTATGAGGATGCAAAGGCCTAAGAATGACAGAATGGATTTTGAGGACTCAGGGGAAAGGGTGGGAGCAGGGTGAGGGATAAAAGACTACATATTGGGTACAGTGTACACTGCTTGGGTGATGAGTTTACCAAAATCTCAAAAATCACCACTAAAGACCTTATTCATGTAACCAAACACCATCTGTTCCCCAAAAACCTATTGAAATAAAAAATAAATTAAAAAAATTGTTTAATAGAAGGGGATTTAATATCTTTAAGTAGCACATCAACTAATAAATGTGAAAGAGATGGTAGACTTAGAAAATCACCATTTTGCTACAATTATAATAAAAATTATAAGCAAAAATTTAAGCAAAAATTATCAGTGAATACTTAAATGAGTAGGTCAAAGTTTGGGGAATAAAGAATATTTATGTATTGTCAAAGTACCTCTCCACAAATTACTTATAAATTACTAAGGGGAAAATAGTAAATTTATAATGGAGAAACCTGGCAGAACCATCTTAGCCAACTGATTATAGCTAATATCACCAGTAATGGGACAGATCAACATGTGCCTTCCGATGTAATGTGCTGAGAAGACAATCTCATGTCTATTTTCCTATATGACATTTATGACCTAGATCTAATCAGAGGAAATATCAGACAGACCCAAACTGAGTGACATTCTACAAAATAACAGGAACTCCAAGCTGCCAACGTTATAAGAGAAAAGACTGAGGAGCTAATCCAGATTAAAAGACCCTCAAAGGACATGACCACTAAGTGAAATTTTTATTCCTGAGTTGAATTTTAGACTAGGAAATAAAATCAATATAGGATATCATTTGGATAATGGATTAAATTTGAATATTGACTCTGGATGACATAATATTATTGTATGAATGGTATTTTTTTATTATTGGTCATTTTACTAGTTATGCAAGAGAATGTCTGTTCTTAGGAAATACACATTGTTCAAAAGGTTAAAAAAATGTTTATTAAAAGAGTAAATGATAAAGCAACTAGGGCAAAAATGTTAATAATTTGTGAATCTGGGTAAAGGATATATGAGTATTATTTGTTCTATTCTGATAATCTCTATGTAACCTTGAAATTATGTCAAAATAAAATGTTTAAAAATAAATAAATAAATAGATAGATAAAATTTTATTACACAAAATTGTCCAGGAAATAGGGAAGAAGAAACACTTCCAATTTGTCTTATGAGGCCAGTATCAACTTGATAACAAAATTAAACGAAGACATTATACACACACACACACAGACATACACACAGACGAAAAATAACTTTAACCATTCCAATAGATACAGCAAAACATTTGAAAAAATTTAACATTTACTAAAGATAAAATCGCTGAATTACTGAGCATACTCAGATGAAAAGGGAATGTTTGATCTGAAGAAAAGACTCTACATAAAAGCTACAGTATATATCATACTTGATGAAATACTTTAAATTTCCACTATAGGTTAAGAAATAAGATAAGAATGACTACTGTCAATATTTCTTCTCAGTAGCCCAATAGAGCCAGGAAAATGACAAAGAAGGTATAAAATTTGAAAATAGATGATGTGGTTGGGTACATAAAGATCTGGAAAGGAAATATACCTAAACTATTAGAATTAAATAGTAAACTAAATAAAATACAAAGGCCATAAAATTTTAGTAGCATCAAAAGCCTCCCAATATTTAGGAACAAATTTAATTAAATATTGGCAAAATCTCTACATTGAAAACTACAAACGATTACTAAAAAAATTTTAAATAGACAAATAAATCAAGGAATATTACATTTTTATAAAGTGGAAGTTTCAATATTGCTAAGAAGTCAATTCTTCCCAAATTTATGTTTAAATTCATTGTGATTCTCAGTAAAATGCAAGCAGGTTTTTGGCTTTATGGAAATTCACAAAATGATTCTATTAATATCTAAATGCATGCAACCAAAAGCCACAATGACATGAAGAAAAACCAAGTTGGAGAAGTCACACCACTGGATATCAAAACTTACAAAGCTATGATAACTAACTAGAACTATGGCATAGAATCAAGTATCAAGAATCACATCACATATAAACATCACCAAATTTATGACAAATATGCTAAACTGATTTTAATGATAATTTTAGCCATAAATACTTACATTAAAAAAGAAAAAAATAAATGTTAACTAGCTAAGTCTCTAATGTGAAAAATTACAAATACAAATGGAAAAATTTCAAAATAAGTGGAAGAAATGATACAGTGTTACGATAAGAGCAAGAGTTATTGAAATTAAGAACAATAGAGGGAAAGATATTAAATGTCAAATTTCTGGCAAAATCTTTTAAGAATAATAGCTGATAATGCACAAATTAATAATATTAGGGATTGAAAGGAAATGTAACTTCAGGTAACCACAAAAATAAGATAAGATAAAAGAATAAATTATGAAACGTTATGCCAATAGGTTTGAAAAAATAGTGAATATAATTTAGTAATGATGAAGAACAATTTAAAAAATATACTGGCTTCCTTGCTATTAATTATACATTCTAAGAATGCTCCTATCTCTGGACTTTGCATTGGTTTCTCTGCTTGGAATGTTTTTCCTCAGATACTCAATTAGCTAACTGTATTTAAGCTTTATTTTTACATGTGGTGCTATTAGTGAAAACTTTACAATATGAAATAGTTTGTTTCCTGCACTATGTCACTTGCCTTGCTTTCTTTAGCTCTGTAATGTGTGTTGCCATCTAACCCGGTTCATGCTTACATGTTTATTTGTTAGTGGTTTCTCTACCACTATAGATTGCACTTCATGAATATGAAAACTTTGTCTAATTCATCACTACTGGATTTTCAGTTGGAGTTCCAATAAATTCACATGAATAAATGATGAATAAAAGAATTAAAACTGTATGATGGTCTTAATAGACATAGGAAAAAGAAACATTGCATACAAGTCAGCATATATTTATGATGAAAAGTTTAGCAGACCTGAAATAAGAAGGGACTTTGTCAATTTAATAAAGGCTCCTGGGGTAGATCAGTACTTTAGTGGGCTCAAGGAACCATGCCCCCAGTACTCACGTTTGTTTCACAATGACTTACTCCACAGTTGGCCATGTGATAAGTTTGACCAATGTGACAGATCTAAGCAGAGGCTTGATAAATGGTTGTACCTGTGGCTTATATTCTTCAAACACCGGTTCTTCAGATTATCCTTGGAACCTAGCCATCATTTTGTGAGGAGCCCAACCTAGCCATGTAGAAAGGTCATATGGAGAACCATATGGAGGACCAGCCAACAGCTCTAGCTAGACTTCTAGGTAAAACCTAATACTAACTTTATTGGAACAGTGGCAAGCTGTCTTTACCAAGCTCTGCTAAAGTAAATAAGTTAAATAGTTATTGTTTGAAGTCACTGTTTTGGGATGTCTCCTTATACAAAAATAGATAAATGAAACAGTTGTCCATCTAAAACCTAGGTCAAAACATGTACTCAGTGAGAACAAGACATGACTGCCACTTGTTATCACTTTAATTCCACACTGTTTTGATTGTTTTAGCTGGTGCATTAAGATAAAGAAAATTCATAGGAACTAGAATGGAAGTTTAAAAACTTTCCTTAATTATAGGAGCTATATTTCCCTACTTAAAAAAATCCCTGGCCGGGCGCGGTGGCTCATGCCTGTAATCCCAGCACTTTGGGAGGCCGAGGCGGGTGGATTACGAGGTCAGGAGATCGAGACCATCCTGGCTAACACAGTGAAACCTCGTCTCTACTAAAAATACAAAAAAATTAGCCGGGCGTGGTGGCAGGCGCCTGTGGTCCCAGCTACTCCGGAGGCTGAGGCAGGAGAATGGCGTGAACCCGGGACGTGGAGCTTGCAGTGAGCTGAGATCGCGCCACTGCACTCCAGCCTGGGCCACAGAGCGAGACTCCGTCTCAAGAAAAAAAAAAAAATCCCTAAGAATCTGCAGATAAAACATTAGAAAAATGAGATAATTTAGCAAATCCCTTGGCCCAGGTATCAAATTGGTATATTTCTATATACCAGCAACAAAGAGTAAAATGTAGTTTGGAAAACATAATTTTGATAACTACCAAAGTAATAATGTCCAGATGTAAATCTAATAGAACATAGAAAAGCTTTACACAGAATATTATAAAACTTTACTGAAATACATTAGAGAAGATCTAAATAAACATGGATATTTACCTTGATAATGGTTGAGGAGTTATCTTTAGTAACTTTATTTTTTTGCTAACATATAGAGTCAATGAAATTTTAATTAAAAGATACTTTTAATTTATAAAAAAATTTATTGCACCAATTCTCACATTTATGCAAAGAGGGAAGAGTGCAAGATAACAAAAAAAAGTAAAAAAAACAGGAATAAAATTCAGAGATTTGTTCTAATAGCAAGATTTACAATGTATAGGAAATAAGACAGTACAGTGTTAGCACAGGAACAGACAGGTAGATGAGTGGACAAAAAGAGAGGACACCAAAGAGATCTGTGTGTGTATGTATATATATATATATACATACACACACACACACACATTGCAAGTCAGTAAATGGCACTGGGGCAATTGGTTTTCCACATTAAGAAAAGAAAGATAGATTGAAATATTTCTCACTATGAGTGTATCTAAAAATGAGTTTCAGGTGGATTAAAGATTGAAATATTAAAGTCAAAACTTTAAAACTTTTTAAAGTACCTATAAAGTGATTATCTTTATGTCCTTGGGAGTGGAAAACATTCCTTAACAAAAGAACTAAAAAAGACTTTAGCATAGAGAGAAAGACTTATTTTAATAATTCTGCAATCTAAAATTAGAGCATCTTCACATCAAAGGAAACCACAGAATGAATGAAAAATCAGGCTACAGAAGGGAAAGGGATATCTGCCACTTCTATTAAGTGGCACAGTTTAGTATTCTAAAGAGACACATAATTCCCTTAAAAATAAGAAAAAGAAAATGGCCAAAATGAAAATGAGCAAAAGTCTGCAAACAAATCCAAATGCCTAGTAAACACACAAACAAAAATGTCTAATAAGATAGAAAAAGCAAATTAAAAGTAGAGTGTGCTGTATCTGTCAGTATCCTTAGAGTAGTAACTCGTTGGATAAGTATGTAAAGCTCTGAGAGCTCATATACAAGGTTGGTAAGGGTGTAAATTGCTAAACCTACTTTGAAGAATGATTTCACATTATATCAGGAAGCTTTAGATGTCAAAGGCAAAAACATAATTTTTCAGAAATGTATAGTGGATACCTTTTAGAAACAGGGAAGTAGGAAAAGGAGCCTAGAGCTGCGCATAAAGGGAAATAAAATACGCTCATAAAGAATTATGCCTTTAAAAGTTATTGGACTCAAATCTTATGAACTATTAATGGTTATTGCTTTAACCATTATTATGAAGTATGAATTTCAGTTGCATTGTTTTTTGTAATCTTCCTTCTGAGGGTAAAAATCAAACAGAAAGAGTTATAAACGTAGGGATTCTGTTTATAATGCTATGACTTTTGGTCTCAAGTTGTGTCATGTGTCTTTAGGGAAAGGCTGGCATTCCTTCCCTTTCCTTTCTTATTCTTTCATTTTCTTTTCTTTCATTTATTTATTTCTTTCCTTTTCTTTCCATCCCATTCCTTTCCTTTTATTTTCCTATCTCTCTCTGTAAACATGTAAGAATGCATGCATATTCACTGCACTACTCTGGTAGTGTCTTACTGATATATTCCTGTCCATTTATAAATCAAAATAGAAAGCTGCTATAATTTAACAACATGGACAGCATTGAAAGGTATGGATAATAGGACAATTTTAACTCATGTGTTGATGTGATAATATATCTCATAGAACGTCAACTCAAGAAAGATATAAGACATGGCATAATGTGTTATGTGCATATTTGTGTCCCTGTTAGTATTGAAAAGTTATCATATTAAAAATGAACAAAGGGAAAAAGTGCATGAGGTGCCGGGAGTCTAGGAGAAACCAGGAATAAGCTTCCAGGTGTTTTCTTCCAGTGAGTTACATTGATGTGCTTAATTGTGCCATCAATGGTACGATAACACATGCAGAATAATGCCAACCAGGAAGTTCACTCAAGTTTGATGTAGAAGGTTTTTATGGGGGATCAGTCAGGTAGGCATACGGCACCTGTGTAACTGACCTCAGCTACTCAGACCCCAGCCCACCAGAGCAAAAATAGGCACCATAAATCACCTTGTTAGCATAATCTATCTGATCAAATTTATATTGTGACCCAATAAAACAAATTATTTTAAAAAAAACATTTTATTAGGCAGGATATTCAAAGAACTTAGAGCTCCTCTTCCAGGAGCCTGCCAAGGGCCAGTCCTGAATATAGGCCTTTCTTGGGAATATACAGGGTTCTGCAACACAGACATGAAAAGTTAACCCTTTTCTGCATAATGGTTGACTGATATATTTTGATATATCAGATGCGTTAGGTCTTTTGCAACTGAAAAAAAGAGAAGCAAAACTATATTCATAAAATAATATCGAATTTTTCCTTAAAATACCATAGTGGTAAAGAATGAAAACTTGGGGGCCAAACTGCCTTGAGTTTGAGTCCCAGGTTAGCTAGTAGTTTGCTAGTGACTGTAGATAAGTTGATTAGTGACCTGTGCCTTAATTTCCTTATCTTTAAAATAGGAATATCAATATTATTTGCCTCACAAGATTTATTGTAAATGTTGAACACAATAATACCTTTGAAGCCTAGAATAATCCTTGGCATAAGTAGTACTTATTACATGTCATTATTATTATTATAGTTTTATTATACGCTAGCACAGGCATAAGAAAGCAGATCGAGAGATATGAGCAAAAAGTGTTCCAAAAAGTTAAAAGCGAAAAAACAAAAATAAAAAAACACCTCAAGCTATTTAGGCTATTTTATAAAGAGAGAAGTGTTATGATTTTGTTAAGATAGTAACATTAGGGAAACAAGGTGAGGGATAAAAAGAGAAGCCTCTGTATTGTTTTTACAAATTTTTTACAGGTTTAAAATTTCTCCAAAGTTTAAAAGTGAGGTAACATTGTATTCTATTTGAGTAGTAAGTATTAGAAAGCAGGGTAGTGCCAAGAATTGGGACAGGTGAGGAAATGACAGGAACACGTCTGCCCCGCTGGTAGGAGTGTAGCCTCATGGAAGCATTCTGGAGCACATTCTGGGTATAAAAATTCAAATTAAGTCTCTCATATATTGGACCTGAGCAATTTTGCTTCCAGGTATATATCCTAAATAAATCCTTACACAGGTCCATAACAACAGTTGTTTGGCATAATTTATGGTAATGGGGAATTAGAAGCAACCCAGATGTCCATCAACGGGAGAGCAGATTTGCGAAGGTTGAGGATGTACAACATCAAAAAAATGCAGTTTTTAGAAAAAGTGGGCTAGATGTAGACATTGTAACGTGATAGCTCTTAAAAGTAGTGTGCTGAGTGAAAAAAAGTAAGAAACTGAATAAGATTATAATGTAATACTATTTTATAGAATAAAATATCCTAAAACAACAATACTAATAGAAATTAAGAGCCCATAAAATGTTACACATGAAACTTATAATAATTGTTTTCCTTAGGGGGAATGGTAGTAGAAACAGACAGGAAAGAAATGTTTTAAATAAAGTAAGATGAGAGAGATCGTGCACATATTAATGAGGACAGGGTGCCATGAACTGATAAATGTAATGAACTCAACCTTCTGCACTTGAGATCCAACCACATAATAAAAGGAAAAAAGAAATAATATATGCAATTTTGTCTATATATATATATCAAAATTAAAATAGTGATAACCTCTAGGAATCACTATTAAAGAGGAAATTCTTATTTTAATGTTATTTCTACAACATTTGAAACAATTTAAGGAGCATGAAGTGTAATTTTTGTATTCAAAACTTAAAATGTGAATAATTAGTAATAAATTTAATAAAGGAACAAGACTGCCTCACTGAAAGCCATGTAACGTTACTGAAAGAAATTAAAGACCTAAAAAATGGGAAGCTATGTTGTGTTTATGAATTAAATGACTCAATATTAAGACTTCTATTTTCTCAGAAATGATCTATAGATTTGATGCAATCCTAATAAAAATGCCAGCATGCTTCTTTTTAGTACGAATTAACAAGCTAATTCTAAAGTGTATATGGAAATGCAGAAGACTTGGAAAATCAAAGCCTAGAAAATCAAAAGATTAGAGGCATTAAACTACCTGACTTCAAGAATTGTTATAAAGGGCACGGCGTGGTGGCTCATGCCTGTAATCCCAGCACTTTGGGAGGCCGAGGTGGGCGGATCACGAGGTCAGGAGATCGAGACCATCCTGGCTACCACGGTGAAACCCCGTCTCTACTAAAAATACAAAAAAATTAGCCAGGCATGGTGGTGGGCGCCTATAGTCCCAGCTACTTAGGAGGCTGAGGCAGGAGAATGGCGTGAACCCAGGAGGCGGAGCTTGCAGTGAGCCGAGATGGTGCCACTGCACTCCAGCCTGGGCGACAGAGCAAGACTCCGTCTCAAAAAAAAATCGTTATAAAGTTGCTGAAATCAGTATGGTATGGTATTAGTTAAAAATAAACACATAGATCAATGAAAAAGAATAGTAAGCCCATATATTGACAAGGTGCTAAGGCAAATCAATGGGGGAAAATAATGTCTTTTCAATAAATCACACTAAAAACTATATATCTGTATAGAAAAAGAATGATCATTAACACTCACTTTATACTACACTCAAAAATTAACTCAATAAGGATCACAGACTTAATTAATATAGAAGCTAAAACTATTCATTTTCTAAATGGTCACATAGAAAAATACCTTTATAATTTTAGGCCGGGCGCGGTGGCTCATGCCTGTAATCCCAGCATATTAGGAGGCCAAGGCAGGTGGATCATTTGAGGTGAGGAGTTCAAAACCAGCCTGGCCAACATACTGAAATCCCATCTCTATTAAAAATACAAACAAACAAACAAAAAAGACAGACAGAAAGAAAATGAGCCAGCATAGCAGCACACACTTGTAATCTCAGCTACTTGAGAGTCTGAGGCACGAGAATTGCTTGAACCAGGAGGCGGAGGTTGCAGTGAGCCAAGATTGCACCACTGCACTCCAGCCTGGGTGACAGAGTGAGACCCTGTCTCAAAAGAAAAAAAACTTTGTAATTTTAAAGAAGGTATTTTTGGAAGATAGGACACCAAACATGAATTATAAAACACAAAGTTGATAGATTGAACTACATCAAAATTTTTAAAGTTTTACTCTCCAAAAGAACCTGATGGAAAAAAAAGACAATCACAGGAGATTAGAAAAAACATCTGTAATACGTGTATCTGACAAAAGATTTTTATCCAGTATATATACATATATACACACATATGTAAATGTCTTCATAATAGAAAGATTAACAACTTGTTTTAAAAATGGGCCAAGTGTCTGAGCAAAAACTTCACAAATGAAGACACACAAATAACTAATAAGTCCATGAAAAGATGTTCAACCTTGTTGAACAGGGCAATACAAAATAAACTCATCGATATATATCACCATGAATGTGTTTAAAAAGCTAAAAGTTTTTCAAAATACCTGACAAGGTAGCCAAGATGGTCTTGATCTCCTGACCTCGTCATCCGTCCACCTCGGCCTCCCAAAGTGCTGGGATTACAGGCGTGAGCTACCACGCCCAGCCCTTTATAACAATTCTTGATTATCTAGGGAATATAATATGGAACAACTACTTTAGAAATCAGTGTGGGTGGCTGGAAAGATGGTGGAATAGAAACAGCTTCGGTCTGCAGCTCCCACTGAGATCAATGCAGAAGCCAGATGATTTCTGCATTTCTAACTGAGATACCCGACTAATCTCACAGGGACTGGTTAGACAGTGGGTGCAGCCCAGGGAGGGCTAGCCGAAGCAGGGTGGGGCATCGCCTCACCCGGGAAGCGCAAGGGGTCAGACAACTCCCTCCCCTAGCCAAGGGAAGCCATGAGGGACTGAGCCATGAGGAACAGTGCACTCCAGCCCAGATACTACGCTTTTCCCATGGATTTCGCAAACCACAGAACAGTAGATTCCCTTGGGTGCCTACGCTACTGGGGTCCTGGGTTTCAAGCACAAAACTGGGCGGCTGTTTGCGCAGAGACTGAGCTAGCTGCAGGAGTACAGCTAAGGCAGTGTTTAAAGGGAAATTTATAGCACTAAATGCCCACAGGAGAAAGCAGGAAAGATCTAAAATCGACACTCTAATATCGCAATTAAAACAACTAGAGAAGCAAGAGAAAACAAATTCAAAAGCTAGCAGAAGACAAGAAATAACTAAGATCAGAGCAGAAATGAAGGAGATAGAGACACACACAAAAAAATTCAAAAAATCAATGAATCCAGGAGCTGGTTTTTTTGAAATAATTAACAAAGTAGACTGCTAGCCAGACTAATAAAGAAGACAAGAGAGAAAAATCAATAGACACTATAAAAATGATAAATGGCATATCACTGCTGATCCCACAGAAATAGAAACTACCATCAGGGAATACTATAAACATCTCTATGCAAATAAACTAGAAAATCTAGAAAAAATGGATAAATGCCTGGACACATAAACCCTTCCAAGACTAAACCAGGAAGAAGTCTAATGCCTGAATAGACCAATAACATGTTCTGAAATGGAGGTAGTAGTTAATAGCCTACCAACCAAGAAAAGCCCAGAACCAGACAGATTCACAGACGAATTCTACCGCAAGTACAAAAAGGAGCTGGTACCATTCCTTCTGAAAATATTCCAAACAATAGAAAAAGAGGGAATCCTCCATAACTCATTTTATGAGGCCAGCATCAACCTGATACCAAAACCTGGCAGAGACACAACAAAAAAAGAAAATTTCAGGCCAATATCCCTGATGAACATTGATGTGAAAATCCTCAATAAAATACTGGCAAACCGAATCCAGCAGCACATCAAAAAGCTCATCTACCATGATCAAGTCAGCTTCATTCCTGGGATGCAAAGCTGATTCAAATATGCAAATCAATAAATGGAATCTATCACATAAACAGAACCAATGACAAAAACCACATGATTATCTCAATAGATGCAGAAAAGGCCTTCGACAAAATTCAGCAGCCCTTCATGCTAAAAACTCTCAATAAACTAGATATTGATGGAATGTATCTCAAAATAATAAAAGCTATCTATGACAAACTCACAGCCAATATCATACTGAATGGGCAAAACCTGGAAGCATTCCCTGAGAAAACTGTCACAAGACAAGGATGCCCTCTCTCACCACTCTTATTCAACATAATGTTGGAAGTTCTGGCCAGGGCAATCAGGCAAGAGAAAAAAATAAAAGGTATTCAAATAGAAAGAGAGGAATTCAAATTGTCTCTGTTTGCAGATGACATGATTCTATACTTAGAAAACCCCATCGTCTCAGCCCAAAATCTCCTTAAGCTTATAAGCAATTTCAGCAAAGTCTCAGGATACAAAATCAATGTGCAAAAACCACAAGCATTCCTATACACCAATAATAAAAAAAACAGAGAGCCAAATCATGAGTGAACTCCCATTCATAACTGCTACAAAGAGAATAAAATACCCAGGAATACAACTTACAAGGCATGTGAAGGACCTCTTCAAGGAGAACTACAAACCACTGCTCAAGGAGAGAGGGCACAAACAAATGGAAAAACATTCCATCCTCATGGGTAGGAAGAATAAATATCATGAAAAATGGCCATACTGCCCAAAGTAATTTATAGATTCAATGCTATCCCCATCAAGTTACCATTGACTTTCTTCACAGAATAGGAAAAAACTACTTTAAATTTCATATGGAACCAAACAAGAGCCCACATAGCCAAGATAATCCTAAGCAAAAAGAACAAAGCTGGAAGCATCATGCTACCTGACTTCAAAGTATACTACAAAGCTACAGTAACCAAAACAGCATGTTACTGGTGCCAAAACAGATATATAGACCAACAGAACAGAACAGAGGCCTCAGAAATAATGCCACACATCTACAACCATCTGATCTTTGACAAACTTGACAAAAACAAGCAATGGGGAAAGAATCCCCTATTTAATAAATGCTGTTGAGAAAACTGGCTAGCCATATGCAGAAAACTGAAACTGGACTCCTTCCTTATACCTTATACAAAAATTAACTCAAGATGGATTAAAGACTTAAACGTAAGACCTAAAACCATAAAAACCCAAGAAGAAAACCTAGGCAATACCATTCAGGATTTAGGCATGGGCAGAGACTTCATGACTAAAACATCAAAAGCAATGACAACAAAAGCCAAAATTGACAAATGGGATCAAATTAAACTAAAGAGCTTCTGCACAGGAAAAGAAATCATCAGCAGAGTGAATAGGCAACCTACAGAATGGGAGAAAATTTTTGTAATCTATCCATCTGACAAAGGGCTAATATCCAGAATCTACAAAGAATTTAAACAAATTTACAAGAAAAAAACAAACAACCCCATCAAAATGTGGGCGAAGGATGTGAACAGACACTTTTGGGATTCTCCAGGTTCAAGCGATTCTCCTGCCTCAGCCTCCTGAGTAGCCGGGATTACAGGTTCATGGCACCATGCCCAGCTAAGTGTTTGTATTTTTAGTTGAGATGGAGTTTCACCATGTTAGCCAGGATGGTCTCAATCTCCTGACCTCGTGATCTGCCTGCTGCGGCCCCCTAAAATGCTGGGATTACAGGCATGAGCCAATGCCCCGGCCTGACAGACACTTTTTAAAATAAGACATTTATGTGGCCAACAAACATATGAAAAAAAGCTCATCATCACTGGTTATCAGAGAAATGTGAATCAAAACCATAATGAGATACCATCTCATGCCAGTTAGAATGGCTATCATTAAAAAGGCAGGAAACAACAGATGCTAGAGAGGACGTGGAGAAACAGGAACACTTTTACACTGTTGGTGGGACTGTAAACTAGTTCAACCATTGTGGAAACAGTGTGGCGATTCCTCAAGGATCTAGAACCAAAAATACCATTTGACCCAGGAATCCCTTTACAGGGTATATACCCAAAGGATTATAAATCATTCTACTATAAAGACACATGCACACGTATGTTTATTGTGGCACTGTTCACAATAGCAAAGACTTGAAACCAACCCAAATGCCCATCAATAATACACTGGATAAAGAAAAGGTGGCACATATACACCCATGGAATACTATGGAATACTATGCAGCCATAAAAAAGATGATTTCATGTCCTTTGCAGGGACATGGATGAAGCTGGAAACCATCATTCTCAGCAAACTAACACAAGAACATAAAACTAAACATTGCATGTTCTCACTCATAAGTAGGAGCTGAACAATGAGAACACATGGACACAGGTAGGGGAACATCACACACTGGGGCCTGTTTGGGGGTGAGGGGGTAAGGGAGGGATAGCATTAGGAGAAATACCTAACGTAGTTGACAGGTTGATGGGTGCAGCAAACCACCATGGCATGTATATACCTACGTAACAAACCTGCAAGTTCTGCACATGTACCCCAGAGCTTAAAGTATATAAAAAAAAGAAAAAATCTCATGTGGCAGATTAAAGAAAAAAAACTTACTAAGGTATATGCATATGTAGATATTATAACCATTAATTCAAAAAAGTCCTATAAAAACATTCCCCATTACTGAGCAATTGCTTATTCCCTTTGTCATTAAAACATGCACTTTGATTTACTTCAAAACTGAGGGGACTAGTCCAGTTTTGTACTCTTGTAAATTATGAGTCTTTCTTGAAGAAATCTGCAGCATTACACAAAATTGAATCAGATATTCAGATTCACAAGATTTGTGCCTCCTTATCTCACACATTCATAAGTTGGAACTCTTCATTTGCAGTTTATCTATATTCTGTTTCATGGAACTAGGGAGCATCCCCTGCCTAACTCTGTAAAACCAATTTGTCAAACTCTTGTACAGATCAGAAAAGTAAAGGAATTAATATAAATACCTCCAGTAATAGGGATGCACAAGGGTGATGACAATTTTATTAATAGATTATAGTAGTATATGCTTATATTTATAGATTATACACATCACACACACACATAAACATACACACTCACATTTGGGTAATAATGCATTTGCCATCAGTAAGGAACATAAATGACCTTATTGTTTGAGTCAGACAAATATTAATTTGAATCAGAGCTTAACTACCATTTATTTGAGAAATCTCAGGAAAATTAACTAATCCTTCCTAAATTTATTGTTCCTATTGGCAAAATGGGGACAATATGTTATAGCTAGAAGAGTTGTTTTCTTGAGTCAAAAAAATGTATATATATAAAGCACTTGATACTTACTAGGGGCTGAATAAATTGTTGAAATCACCACTGTAATAATAGTAAAAGAACTTAATATGAATACTTAATATGGATAGAAAACTAGGAGGCCCACTGGAAATACCATATATGCACCATAATATTAACCCAGTTAGCTTCATCTATCTCCAACCTTATTTGTTAATAACAAGTTTTAAATTATACAGGCCAGACTCCAAACTAATTGTCTTTCTCCTTCATTTCAGAAAAATTTTCCAAAGATGACTTAAAATAACACTTGAATTGGAGGGAGGAAGGAAAGCTAATATTATTAGAGCACAACATCTTAAATTTTAAAGAATTATATTTGAGAGGAATATATACAATAGACAGCTTGGAAGAGCATTCTGGGTAGAAATAAGATTCACCTCTCTTCCAATCTGAAACATAATAACAATGCCTTTCATTTGTATGGTTCTTCAGAGTTTAAACATGGCTTTTAAGCACATTTTTCTCTGAGGAAGCTCTTCCTTTGACAGCATCTTCCTCAGTGCTGCCTTCATGGAATCATTCCGTAAGCTATAAATGACTGGATTGAGTGTTGGAGGTATCACAGTATAGAATACGGAGAATACAAGGTCCACAGTCGATGAGGAATCAGAAGGCAGTCTGAGAAACTCAAAGCCTGCAGCTGAAAGAAAGAAGGTGGCTACAAATAGGTGTGGTAGGCAGGTGGAGAAGACCTTGGTCCGGCCCTCAGCTGATGGGATTCTCAGCACTGTAGAGAAGATGCGAATGTAGGAGAGCACAATGGAGATCAAACAGATAAATGCTGCAGACGTTGTGAATGCAGCCAGTGCAATCTCATTAATGAATTCATAAGAACAGGCTAGTTTCAGCATCTGAGGAACATCACAGAAGAATTGGTGAATGACTCTCTTCCCACAGAGAGGTATGGAGAAGTTAATGGCAGCATGCATGAGCCCAGAGAGGCCCCCAGCAATCCACACAGCTATCACTGCATGCCTACAGGCACGGGGATCCATAATAGTCTCATAATGAAGTGGTTGACAGATTGCTGCGTACCTGTCATAAGACATCACTGTGAGAATGGCCACTTCTGATGAGGCCAGAGCTATGAAGAAGAAAACCTGAAGAATGCACTGAACAAGAGAAATGTAACCGTTGCCCATAAGTGAATTTGCAATGGACTGGGGGACTGTGACAGAGATGAAGCAGAGGTCCAGAAGAGAGAGGTGCTTTAAAAAGTAATACATGGGGGAATGGAGACGACGGTCCACGGTAATGATGGTGATAATGAGGAGGTTGCCTGTCAAGGCCAGCAGGTATGTCACCAGAAATACCAATGCATGTAAAATCTGAAGCTTACGCTCATCAGAAAACCCCATAAGAAGGAATCCACTCATTGAAGTCAAATTGACCATAGTCTCTCTGAAGATACCAAGTGTGACTCTGTTTAGGAAGCCAAAGACAGTAGGAAGAAAATGCATGACATCTAATATATTTGTGTGTCAAGTAACTCAATTCCTCAGCAAGGAGGTACTGAAATGAGATGAATTTATTTTCATTGCGATTAGTTAATATTCAATTCAAAAACGTTTTAGCAATTATTCAGAAATAGAATCCCTGAATGTGATCAACAAGTCATAAACATTTTCTGGAGCAGAGTTTGCATTGTCAAAGAGGGAGAAATTGATGGAAATGATAAAGTCTTTACCTTCAATAAAGTCAATGAAAATGATTCTAGCATACCAATCTCATTACATCTTCTATATGATGCCTTAGTATTACAACGATGCACTATATAGCTTCTTTTGCTAACCAGCTAACATGAAGTTATTGATACCACCTTGCAAATGGATCTAGAAACAGCTCAGAGGCAGATCTAGAAACAGCTCAGAAGCTAATCTAGAAGAGAGGTTAGCTCAAAGAACAGTCATATTTTTTCCTTTGAAAAGCTCTTAACACTTTAAAAAGATTACATTTGATTGTAATAAACTTTTCATAGAAATTTTGAAAAATGAAATGTCTCAAAATTGTAAAATGCAGATGCCACTGATATCAGGCATTGAATCCTGAGCTTTGGAGATCTTGCAACTAAGTGACAAAGGTTCACCGTCAAAGAACGTTTAATTCTCAAAATTCTTATGACAACTTGGGGTTGGACATTTTCAATCAAATCCATTTGAAGAAATAAAGAGATTTTCTAAAATCTATGTGATAGGCAGAATGCTAGGTAGTAGAGTATATATCTTTCTAGTGCTGTGTCTCATTGTGAGTTCCTGAATGAAAAAATATATATATATATTTCTTTCTAGGACTTGAAATATATTAGATAGTGGGAGCCCATTTCTTAAAATAACCAACCAAACAAAAAAAAAATCTATACCAGATGTAACAATTGTTAGGAGGATTAAATGATGTAACTTTTCCTATTTCATTTTAAATGTGCTATTATTATAGAATCAACACCATCATAGAATTATTTTGTGTATCAGAATCACTCTGCTAACTAATTTTTGCCTCTTTTTTTTCTTTTTAAATCTGTGCATTTGTTGAAAGGTCAATCAGTATCATTTTCACTGAGTTTCTTCTGCACAAAGACTATTCCTTCATCATTTCTGTCCATTTCTTCACCCTTGACCAAAGGCATCTAACATATAGGTTCTAAGTAAATACTTATTTAACGGGATATCTACATAATTGATTTCAGTTCTATATAGACAAAAACTTAATGGCTAAGTTACATGAGTTAATGCATCTGATTTTGAAGTAACTGCATCTGATATTGTAGTTTGTTTCATTTATTAATCCCTAAGCTGTAGGAAAAGGTTAAAAATCACTTAAACCAAGATCTTTTTGATTTTGCTGTAATTTATTTTGAGAACTGACTGAAACTAATTTTTAGGAAATTTTTTTTTTCCACAAGGAACAGTCTCAGGGCTGGAAGGGCCCTTAATCCCTCACTGATGGTCACATCCCCTGCTTCATGGCAGTAGGAATCAGAGGAAAACAGGGGTTACTTTCTTCAAAGTTTCTCTAGCTTTCTTGCTCCTACAGTTTTCCTGGTCCTCCATAAGATATAGCTTAATCCCCAGTGCTGCCAATCTTAATGCCTGGCTTAACTTGCTCCAAATATTGGATGGTAGTTTTGGAATTTAAAATAAAATGTGAATAGATGAAAGCAATTCACTTATATTTTAAAACTTACTGTCTCTGGCTTGAAAATCAAAAGCATCGTGTTACTTACCACTTCTAATACACATTGTTAATGTAATCTAAGAAAAACCTCTATCATTTAGCCTCCCCATTAAGGTTTCTCCATAGAGGGAAGGAGGAGAAAAATCGTAAGAAAAAACTTGAATGCACACACCATATTCTCCTCTCAACAACTCCCACCAACCTATTTTCATTTTTATTTTCTTTGAAGACATAGATAATAATTTTTATATCTGATTAATAAATGGAAAATTTCATCATTTTAATTTCACTAGTTCCAAATTGTATTGATTAATTCATCACTTATCAAATAAGAAGGAAGGGAATCATATACGTGTGGAGATACTCTTAGGATTAAGGATGATACTGCGAGAACATATAAAACCTGTGTTCAATCCTTCCAAGTCATACCTGCATTAAATACTTTATTTATAATAAAACTAAACATTTTTTGGTGGAGAGTATAATGATTCTTTCAATGTCATTTGTTTCCCCCAAGCATTTTTTTCTGTCTTCACTAACCACTTGTATGCAAATTTTATCCTACAAAACATTTCTAAACTTTTCCGTTTTTTACCTCTCATATGTTGAAACCCTCAATTTTTTTGAAAGTAGTTCTCTTTTAGGTTCAGTGGTACATGTGCAAATATGTTATGTAGGTAAACTCTAATTCATTCCAGTAGCTGCTCTAAAGAGTTAGCATCCTGTGTCTCTTCTTCACTATTTTCCTCTATTTCCTGGGAGGTAGCATTGCCAATAACTTCAATGAGAAAACATAGGTAATTATATGTTAAGCCCCTCAGTTTCCTACCTGTATATAAACGAAATGATCTCTAACATGATTTAATTCCACCCACTCTAGGGTTTCAAAGGCAGAGAAAGAGCTCTTTTTTCCTTTCCAAGTCAGTGACCAACCCTATACTCAACCTTGCTCTATCGCAAAGGGCATCTTTGCCACAGTATGCACTTGCTCTCTCTCTCTCTTTCATAATAGTGCACATTTTATGTGTGTGTGTGTGTCTGTATATGTGTGTGTATAAAATCAACACAAACTCCATGTCTAAAAATTCTAATAATGTTGATTTACTGAGATTACTCTTAATGAACCAGATTGTTTCACTATGCTCTGTTGATAGATGATAGATTAGAGATAGATAGATGATAGATAGATAGATAGATAGATAGATAGATAGATAGATAGATAGAGATAATCTTAAGACTCATCCATTTTAAAGAAAAAGAAAAGTCTTCACTCCACACTTAGGACTTACTTATAATGTCCCTTCTCTTTACAGCCATGCTTTATGAGCAGAATAGGGTATCATTCTGTGCCCTGGCACATTTGGTTCAATTCTTGAACCATGTTAATCATTCTTGCTTCATGAGTCCTCACAAACAGCTCCAGCAAATCCACAAATAACTATCACAACGGTAAATTCAATGCACTCTTTCTATTTTGTTTTTATTTTAAATTTTGTTTCTCAAATATATGACACTATTATACAGTTCTTTCTTCTAAAACAGCTGACTTCCATTGGCTCTATGCCACTTAGTTCTGGTTTTCTATTTCCTCTCTGAATATTTTTTCTTAGTCTCGTTATCTGGGTCTTCTTTTAACATTTATTGAAATTTGATGGTTTCCAAAAATTTGTCCTGACACTTTCTTTCTGTACTTTTGTTTACTCAAAAATATTCCTGTGCCTTTTAAAGAAGACAGATTAACTATTTTCCTACACAATAGAAAATAATAGTCTGCTGTTTCGAGCACTACCATAGGTCTTCTGGGTTGCAGGTCCCCTGGGTTGCAGGTCCTCATATCCTGCTTCACGGTTGGCACATCACTGTCCCTGAATGGGTCTTTCCCATAAGGACTCATCTCTTCTCCCAGACATCTCCCTGTCACTGTGACCTATTTCAAAGAATGGCACAACTTTGCTTTAATCTGTATATCCAATCAAACACCAAAATTTTATTTGCTTACTATCTGTTGTAGTTATTACATCTTGCTGTCACACGTACAGATTAGTTCAAACCTTCATTATCTCTGGCAATATTTTATTCTTCAGTTTTATGTATTTCTAATCCAACTTCAATGCTGTTGCCAGGACAAATGGTGATGCAGATCACATCTTGTAACATTAATTTAGCTTTTAGCTCTTTATTGACTTGATTATGCAATGATGCCCAAAAAGCTTAGGATGGCAAACAATATCTTTACAATGCTTCCTGACTGCCATTCCAGTATTATCTATCATTGTGACTTCTCTAACCCCATGCCAATCTCCATGTCTAATAATGGCGACTGACTTAATTACTCTTAATAAATCAATCAGGTTGTATCACCATGCTGTGTTTCTTTTCTTAAATCACACTATCCCTCCTGTCTGGAAGTCCTCCCATTAGAATTGCCCCTCATGGCTGAGCACGGTTGCTCACACCTGTAATCCCAGCACTTTGGGAGGCTGAGGTGGGCAGATCACCTGAGGTCAGGAGTTCAAAACCAGCCTGGCCAAAATGGCGAAACCCCATCTCTACTAAAAATACAAAAATTAGCCGGGCACGGTGGTGGGCACCTGTAATCCCAGCTACTAGGGAGGCTGAGGCAGGAGAATTGTTTGAACCCAGGAGGCGGAGGTTACAGTGAGCCAAGGTCGCGCCACTGCACTCCAGCCTGGGTGACAGAGCGAGACTCGTCTCAAAAAAAAAAAAAAAAAAGAAAAAAAAAAGAAAAAAAATCTCCCCTCATTTGTTTGGCAAATACTTAACTATCTTTTAACACAGCTACATTGTCTCTTTCCATTTATAATTCACCTGAGTTTAACTGTCGACCCAAGAAGAATTGTCACTCTTTGGAGCCCAGATTGCATTCATTTAAGATTCCTTATAATTTATACTAACTTTTTTATGCTTTATATACTTTTTTATAATTTATACTACCTTATTTGCATAGATATCGCAGCTTATTTAAACTGTTCTTAGTTAAGGAGTGAGAAATTATGTATCTTATTTAGAGTTATAACTTTGAAGACTCGCATAGTCGCTGGCACTAAGCAGGTGCTACATAAATGTTGGATAAATTCCATAAAATTTGAAGAAGTTTTACTCACCAGAGTGGATCTCTCGGTAGAAACAAATCTCAATTGATCCTGAGACTGAGCATCTTTGTTCTAGAATCAAGCTGGTGTTTCAGTCAGTGAAATTTCCATGTAAGGAAAGGACTGAAACGCTTTTATATAGGACCAAACAGGATGTAACTGCCCAGGGACATTTAAATTTCCTATTAACTAAGGGGTATTTGAAATGAAGCCAGTGCTGTCCAGGCACTGGGGACAAAAATCCTGTGCAGGAAAGTTGGTGTTTCAGATAAAAACTATGAGTTCAAAGCAGGGGATTTCATGGACCTCTCCCTCAGGGAATTGCCTCAGTGGGAAGTAGTTAATTATTATCTTGGTTTAGCTAACTCTTGTAGTCGATGCATTTCAGGTTAAAAAAATGAATATTATACATAACTCGTTTTCTGTAACACAGGTTCACAGGTTTTTCTAGTAAAAAGGATTTTTTTCATTAATTAACAGTTTCATTTTAACTGGTCACCAATAAAATCATGCATGATTGCACTGGCCTTATGTAAAAAAAAAAAGGAATACTTAGTAATTATTTACATAAACCCATACATAATAGTAGAATCAAAGAATCTCAGAATAAAACCATGACTTAGAGAGCTAAACTTTCTTCAAACATGGTGTCTTTTCTAAAATTACTCTGAAACTGATAATCCAGCCCTCATTTTAACAATCCCCCAGATGAATAATTTTTACTCAAAAGTGAATGAATTCCATTCTTAAATATGTGTGATTATGGAAAAGGCATTTTTTTAAATTATACTTTAAATTTTAGGATACATGTGCACAACGTGCAGGTTTGTTACATATGTATACATGTGCCATGTTGGTGTGCTGCACCCATTAACTAGTCATTTAGCATTAGGTATATCTCCTAATGCTATCCCTCCCCACTCCCCCCACCCCACAACAGGCCCCAGAGTGTGATGTTCCCCTTCCTGTGTCCATGTGATCTCATTGTTCAATTCCCACCTATGAGTGAGAACATGCGATGTTTGGGTTTTTGTCCTTTGTGATAGTTTGCTGAGAATGATGGTTTCCAGCTTCATCCATGTCCCTACAAAGGACATGAACTCATCATTTTTTTATGGCTGCATAGTATTCCATGGTGTATATGTGCCACATTTTCTTAATCCAGTCTATCATTGTTGGACATTTGGGTTGGTTCCAACTCTTTGCTATTGTGAATAGCGCCACAATAAACATATGTGTGCATGTGTCTTTCTAGCAGCATGATTTATAATCCTTTGGGTATATACCCAGTAATGGGATGGCTGGGTCAAATGGTATTTCTAGTTCTAGATCCCTGAGGAGTTGCCACACTGACTTCCACAATGGTTGAACTAGTTTACAGTCCCACCAACAGTGTAAAAGTGTTCCTGTTTCTCCATATCCTCTCCAGCACCTGTTATTTCCTGACTTTTTAATGATTGCCATTCTAACTGGTGTGAGATGGTATCTCATTGTGGTTTTGATTTGCATTTCTCTGATGGCCAGTGATGATGAGCATTTTTTCATGTGTTTTTTGGCTCCATAAATGTCTTCTTTTGAGAAGTGTCTGTTCATATCCTTTGCCCACTTTTTGATGGGGTTGTTTTTTTCTTGTAAATTTGTTTGAGTTCATTGTAGATTCTGGATATTAGCCCTTTGTCAGATGAGTAGGTTGCAAAAATTTTCTCCCATTCTGTAGGTTGCCTGTTCACTCTGATGGTGGTTTCTTTTGCTGTGCAGAAGCTCTTTAGTTTAATTAGATTCCATTTATCAATTTTGGCTTTTGTTGCCATTGCTTTTGGTGTTTTAGACATGAAGTCCTTGCCCATGCCTATGTCCTGAATGGTATTGCCTAGGTTTTGTTCTAGGGTTTTTCTGGTTTTAGGTCTAACATTGAAGTCTTTAATCCATCTTGAATTAATTTTTGTATAAGGTGTAAGGAGGGGATCCAGTTTCAGCTTTCTACATATGGCTAGCCAGTTTTCCCAGCACCATTTATTAAATAGAGAATCCTTTCCCCATTGCTTGTTTTTGTCAGGTTTGTCAAAGATCAGATACTGGTAGATATGTGGCATTATTTCTGAGGCCTCTGTTCTGTTCCATTGGTCTATATCTGTTTTGGTACCAGTACCATGCTATTTTGGTTACTGTAGCCTTGTAGTATAGTTTGAAGTCAGGTAGTGTGATGCCTCCAGCTTTGTTCTTTTGGCTTAGGATTGACTTGGCAATGCAGGCTCTTTTTTGGTTCCATATGAACTTTAAAGTAGTTTTTTCCAACTCTGTGAAGAAAGTCATTGGTAGCTTGATGGGGATGGCATTGAATCTATAAATTACCTTGGGCAGTATGGCCATTTTCACGATATTGATTCTTCCTACCCATGAGTATGGAATGTTCTTCCATTTGTTTGTATCCTCTTTTATTTCATTGAGCAGTGGTTTGTAGTTCTCCTTGAAGAGGTCCTTCACATCCCTTGTAAGTTGGATTCCTAGGTTTTTATTCTCTTAGAAGCAATTGTGAATGGGAGTTCACTCATGATTTGGCTCTCTGTCTGTTATCGGTGTATAAGAATGCTTGTGATTTTTGCACATTGATTTTTTATCCTCAGACTTTGCTGAAGTTGCCTATCAGCTTAAGGAGATTTTGGGCTGAGACGATGGGGTTTTCTAGATATACAATCATATCATCTGCAAAGAGGGACAATTTGACTTCCTCTTTTCCTAATTGAATGCCTTGGAAAAGGCATTTTTGAAATCATGATAAGGACACTTAACATAAAATCTACCTTCTTAGCATTGAAAGAAAATTTTTTAAAACTTTTAATATCAAAAATTTAATATATTGTATATTCTACTTGGCAAATGTTTAAAAATAGCTCTAAGTTCCCATGTGTGTGTGTATATATATATATATAATGTATATGATTTATATTATGTGTATTATATATATGAATTATATATATAAATATAAGAAACTGAATTGTAAATGTTGCAGACCAATAAACTTTATTTTGATCTCCAGTGACAAATATAGTACCACATTAAGTACCACAATATGGTGTCTCAGTAAGGATCACACGTTTTCATAAGGCTGTTTATGAACAATAAGAGACAATTAATGAATGATTAAAAAATACTCAGGTTTTTTTCATTTTGAGGAAAGAATTTTCTATTTTAACATTGACTTTGATTGTGATCTGATCAATGTTTTTGTAAAAGCTTTGGATACAGATGGTAGGTGGATTCAATATTATACATGGTGGTTAGTAGACAAATAATCCAAAAATTTCAACATACAACAATAATGGATAATTTAGAGAAAACTGTGGGATAGTTCAAATAGGATAAACTTTAATAAAATACTTTCCAAGATAAAGGCACATTAAAATTTGAGAGATGTGTGTTTTTCTTTTTTTTAAGATTGATTAAATCTAATCAATACATGCTAAGAGCATCCAATGACAAAGAAATCAGTTACAAAAAGACCCTATAGTAATATTTCAATTGATGAGTAATATTTTCACTTTACTCTCTTCATCAGACCGAAACTGAATGAATCATTTCAGAATTAAATACATTAAGAAAATTGTAGACAAATGGATGTGTTAGCAAACAAAAGCAATTGTCATTCATTCCAATTACTAGAAAGCTCAGGGTGACCTATATTTTCAAATATTAAAAATGTTTGTCTTTTAAAAATAAATTTAAATTTATCTATGTTCCTAGAATCAATCTAGTAATAATGGTTATTAGTTATATTCAGATAGTTGTTTTCTCAGCATAAACAATAATTTTCAAAACCTGTTCCTGATGATACAGTAACTACAGACTGATATTAAGAAATATTTATTTATTTATTTTTTAAAGGAAGGGTTTGAATCCCTTACAAAAGTTTTGTGGAGACCTTTTTGAATTCAGTGAAAAAATCTAATTTTGATATTGTAAAATTCTTTTTCTTTTTTTTTCATCTACACTTTCAATTTCCAACTCCTGTGTCTATGCCTTTAATATTCTGACTCATAATTCATGCCATGAGGATGTTTTTCCACAACTCCTCTAGGATAAAAGAAAGCCTACATTAATTTATGTTAGTAATAATAACATTGGACAGTCTGAAACTGCTTGTGGCTTATATAAAAGGGGTTTTCCACTAGAAGTTTAACTCAGGCAGGGCGAGGTGGCTCATGCCTGCAATCCCAACACTTTGGGAGGCCAAGGCAGGCAGATCACTAGAGCACATGAGTTCAAGACCAGCCTGGGCAACATGGTGAGACCCTGTCTCTACAAAAAATACAAAAATTAATTTATCTATTATTTTCTATTTTATTACTTTCAATTATTAAATATTTTCTTTATTATTTTCTGGCTTCTACTGACATGGATTTATTTTTCTTTTTTTCCCTAGCTTTTTAAAATTTTCTATCCAGACCACAAAAAATTTTCTCCATATCAGCAATAAGACTGTTTTGCTATCTTATTTATGTGTTTACTGGAGTAGCGCATTTTAATTTTTTTCAATAACTTTTCTTTACATTCACAACTTGGCTAACTGGTGCAAAAGCCCTAGCTTCTGGCCTGTCTTGGCTTTTGATAGGCCTTCTTCACTAAGCTTAATCATTTCTAGCTTTTGATTTAAATAAGAGACATGTGACTCTTCCTTTCACTTGAATACTTAAAGGCCATTGTAGGATTATTAATTGGTCTCATTTCAATATTGTTGTGTCTTAGAAAATAGAGAGGCCTGAAGAGAGGGAGAGATGGTGGAACAGCCAGTGGGTGGAGCAATCAAAACATACATCATTTATCAATTAAGTTCACTGACTTACATGGGCAGTTTGTGGTTCCCTAAAACAATTACAATAGTAACATCAAAGATCACTGATCACACGTCACCATAACTTTCACCTGCGTCCGTGTGAAGAGATCACCAAACAGGCTTTGTGTGAGCAATAAAGCTTTTTAATCACCTGGGTGCAGGCGGGCTGAGTCCGAAAAGAGAGTCAGCTAAGGGAGATAGGGGTGGGGCCATATTATAAGATTTGGGTAGGTAAAGGAAAATTAGTCAAAGGGGGGTTGTTCTCTAGCGGGCAGGAGTGGGGGTCACAAGGTGCTCAGTGGGGGAGGTTTTTTGAGCCAGGATGAGCCAGGAAAAGGAATTTCACAAGGTAATGTCATCAGTTAAGGCAAGGACCGGCCATTTTCACTTCTTTTGTGGTGGAATGTCATCAGTTAAGGCAGGAACAGGCCATTTTCACTTATTTTGTGATTCTTCAGTTACTTCAGGCCATCTGGGCATATACATGCAGGTCACAGGGGATGCGATGGCTTAGCTTGGGCTCAGAGGCCTGACAATAACGATACAATAATAACGAAAAAGTCTGAAATATTGTGAGAATTACCAAAACGTCACATAGAGATATGAAGGGAGCACATGCCGTTGGAAAAATGATACTGATAGATTTGCTCTTGCAAGGTTGCCACAAACCTTCAGGTGCAATAAAGTGAAGCACAATAAAATGAGACAGGCCTATATTTGGTCGAACATCATTCTGGGTGTGTTTGGAGAGGTGGCTCCTCTCTGCAGGCAGGTCCCCATTGACTTCCCAGCTCTCAGCAGAGAGGATAGCTACTCTCTGCAGCTGGTCATCTCGTCATCTCTCAGTTGTCCTCTACCATGCTATTGCTGATCCTGGGGCTTTTATGGACCTCAGAGGGGAGGAAGTGCATATGGAGTGGTCCATCCGTGGCCATGGGTGGGCAGAAAAAGGCACCACAAGACCCCACTCCAGTCCACCGGTGTGGCAGCCTGACTCCCAGCCTTCAGGCTCTTCCTGGCCTGAGGATGGGGCCTTACAGGGACCCACTCCCTTCCACCTAGGAGCCCGTCTGCCTCCTGACGCCTTTCATGGTGCCAAGGGGCACCTGCAGGCCAACGCTTTGCCCGCATCCACTCTTGTCTGGCCCAACATCCAGAGGGGGCTGAGGTGGCAGGGCTCGATCATGCATATACCTGGCAGGGTTGTGACAGTGCCTGGGCTCAGCTCCACCTACTCCTAGATTGGATCAGTTGCAGAGAGTGGGAAGAGACCAGGCAGTAGGAGCAGGCACCTCTGAGCCTGCAATGGCAAAGGGGGCCTTCCCTGGCTCTCAAGAGCACACGGAGGCCCACATCTACTGTCTCCATTTGGACAGCTGCAGCTGTGCTTGGGGGTGTGGGGCTCCTGCCTGCTCCCAGCCCTCAAGAGCACATGGAGGCCCAAGTCTACAACCCTGACGTGGGTGGCTGCAGCCGCGCCCAGGGTGGGCAGAGCTCCTGCCTGCTCCCAGCACACAGGAGCCCCGGGTATACTGCACCGACTTTGGCGGCTGCAGCTGTGCCTAGTCGGGCAGGGGCTTTCAGGGAGGCCCTGGATAGAGCAGAACGCAGGCCCTGGGTCTGGCTGTCGGGAGTGGCAGGCTCCGAGGTCACCCTAACGCCTCGGGTGACCTGTATAGAGCAGACCCCAGGGGACTGGCCCTGGGAGGCCTGCACAGAGCCTCCTCCCAAGGCCCAGGAACTCCAGCATGCCAACTGCAGATCATGGGACTTCTCAATGTTTAGTGTACTATGAATTACATTCAGTGCTTTTAGGTATTATGTATATTTAAACGTTGTGGTTTTCATCTCTAGAAGTTTGATTTTTTAAAGTATCTTCCTCGTCTCTAAATTTTTGAACATATGGTAAACAGTATAATTGTTTTAATGCCATAACTTGAATCATTCTAACATATGTGTCAGTTCTGAGTCAGGTTTGATTTATTGATTTTTCTCCTTACATCATATTTTCCTGCTTTTTTTCATGCTTAGTAAATTTTCATTGGAAAATTTTCTTTTACTGGGTATATCTGTAATCCTATAAATACCCTTGAGTTTATTCTGGAGTGTTACTAAGTTACTTGGATACAGTTTGATACTTTAGTCACTTGTTTTGAAGATTTGTTAGGTAAAACCAGAACAGTGTTTAGTTTAGAGCTAATTATTGAAATTCTTGAAGCAAGACACTTTTGATTGCTAAACTCAATGCCTCAGGAATTCTTAGGTTTTCATTCTGGCACATAAATAGCTTGAGAACCCACAAAATTCCCAGCCTTTGCATAAGCATTGGGCACTATTTACCTTAATCCATTAAGTGGTTCTTTCCTCATTCTTGGATAGCTTCCTCACACACATGCAAATCAGCGCTCAGCTAAACTCAAGCAGGGCCCTCTCTCTGTGTATTAGTCCATTTTCATACTGCTATAAGGAAATACCCAAGACTGGGTAATTTGTAAAGAAAAGAGGTTTAATTGACTCACAGTTCCACATGGCTGGGGAGGCCTCAAGAAACTTACAATCATGGTGGAAGGTGAAGAGGAAGCACTGACCTTCTTCACATGGTGGCAGGAGAGAGAAGTGCAAGCAGGGGAAATGCCAGAGGCTTGTAAAACCATCAGATCTCATGAAAAGTAACTCACTGTCACGAGACCAGAATAGGAGAAACCACCCCCACGATCCAGTCACCTCCCTCCCTCAACATATGGGGATTACAATCGAGATGAGATTTGGATGGGGACACAGAGCCAAATCACATCATTCTGCAAGTCGTGAAAGATTTTTCTATGTTTAGCATTATCTTTTCTGACACTTTTTATGACAAATTCTGCCTTAGTCTGGATGCTCAGTTCTGCCTTTTTTATTTCTCAGTTTTTTTCAAAAGTTGTATTCCTTGATGTAAAGGTAAATGTCTAATTTTATTTCAGTGACTTGTACATAGTTGCCATCAATAAATATTTACCAAATAAAGGAATGCATTTTCATCATAAGATAAACCTCATCATAGCAACAGCTCATTTAAATGTTGCTGTTTATGTTGTTTTATAAGATATAACAAATAAATATTTTTATTTAATAATTTACTAATATTATTTTTAAATCATGTTGGGTAGTTAATCCAAACCAACAATATATAACTGTGATGAGAGTCAGAAAATTTCTATTATTTCTAAAAGTGTTGGGAATTATCCACTTCTCCTAGAATAAATATGATAGTAGACTTTGTTCTGATATAAATATTTTTACCTTATTGAATATGTTTTCCTACTGCTCCTATAGCACAGGGCCTATTTCTATTTAATGGCTTGCCAATTATTTGCATAATTGATGTAATATTTAGTAACTTTTAATATTTAATAACTTTACTAATGTTTTGGTAATACTTTCAGGAATACTTAAAATATTTCCTTATTAAACTTGTTCAACATTGCCTTATTTTGATTTGCTTGCTTGATAGTACAGGTACTATAATTTATTTAATGATATATTTAAATATATAGCCTTCCAAAATCTCAGGCAGCATACATGCAGAAATATTATACCTTTATAAAGTCAAAAATTTAAAACTGTTTAAAGATAAAATTTTTCTCTGGCATATCTGTAATAATGAAAGTGAATCAAAATATATTTCTAGGGCTTGGGGGACATATCTTGAGCAGCCACCCACATCAGCAAAACATTTCTCCAAGCACCCATATTTTAATTTAAAAATACATGTGATTTTCTCAACATAATATATCCATGTTTATTCCAATGCAACACAGTAGTTTCAATGTTCAATTATTTTGAGTTCTATTTATACTTCTAAGTTAAACAAACAAACTCAAGAATATGTTAACATTTTTATTAAATGACCACAAAAACCCCCAACATTCAACCTCTGAGAAATATACTGCTTTAATAGAATAAATAAATACAATAAGCGTTTTTTTCATAATACATATTAGGATGTATTTTATTTCATGCCAATAGCAGACTCCATGTATAAATGAACCATGGGTTGGGAAAAATACTGTGATCAAAAAAATGCATAATGTCTAGGATCCTTTTCCAGATTATACTAGAATTAAGGAAATGAACTCACTTTCTCTTATATAGCCACAGGCCTTCAAAAGTGTTCCCAAAAACCTTTTATCTGTGTTCCAGCTTCTCATCTGTCTCACCACCGGGAGCCACAGAAAGTGGACATGCTCACAGTACAGGAAATAGAGCTTTGCACTGTTCTTTTAATGATGTGGATTTTTTGGTGAACTCACTCTATTTTGTCTTGGTTTCTTCGGCTCATAGGTTTGTGAGGCAGTTTATAGCAAAAGGCTATAAAAGTCTTTTTTTTCTAAATAAAGATAATAGATCAACCAAAGTTTTGAATTCCACATGGTATTCTCAAACCCCCACACTGAAATAGGACTAAATTACCCAGTCAAGTGGTGAAGAAAGCTGCCTTGTCAAAACATGTAAATTCCCACTGAGTTTGTGTCCCTAAATTAGAATTTTTTCCACCTCAGGTTTTTCCCCTGCTGATCACTATCCAAAGCATCTCACTGTTCATCTTTCCCCCCAGAGTAAGTTCTATTTGCATTGACCTAGGCCTCATTGTTGTGTACCACAAGAGCATAAGATTGACTAAGGCAAAACATTTATGGCAAAAAAAATTTGTATTTAAAAGAATTCATGGCAAAAAAAATATATTTAAAATCATCACCTCTAAATTTGTTCATTAATTTCTCTTTCCATAATTCCATCTTAATGTTTTTGAACTAATTGTCTCTTGATTTTACTTGCCTGTGAGACCTTACAAAAGCATTTGAGGGTGATATAATTGGACATCGAATGTTAGAAGATGGCTAAATGGTGGCAATACATGTTGATCAAAATTACCTCACGATAGTACTGGCATGTTTTTCTAAGAGTTGGGATCATTTCTAATTTAATTGGGATTCATTTATAAACAATTTATGCTAAATATATTTCCTAAACTTTCTCAGTATCTTTTTCTCTAGCTATTATACCATTTTCCCTTACTTTAACTAGATTAGCTAGTCATTAGGAATAGGGAGAAAAAAGACTGACTTGATGGAATCCAATATTGTAAAGCAGATAGTCTCGTAAGTGAAAAAATGCTATGTAGATTTTACCAAGAGTTAATTGTTTTTTTCTTAGTCTTGTTCCACTTGTAAACTTTGTGTCACTTGATACTGTTCCCTCATCAATTCCATGTCCAACATCTTTTTGAAAGTCAAACACATCTATCCTCGCTTCTTAGGACTTCTTTTCAGATATCATCTTGTCTTAATCCAAAACTCTTTAGTCAGTGACCTTCTCAGGGCAGCTTTCACATCCTTGTTTCTCAATGTGTAGATGAATGGGTTGAGGGTGGGTGTGACAATGCCATAAAAGAGAGCCATGATCTTCCCCCGGTCATGAGAATAGCTAGAGGGAGGCTGGACATACATACTGATGGCTGTGAAGTAGAAGAGGGAGACCACCAGCAAATGTGAGGCACAGGTATTGAAAGCCTTCCAGCGACTTTCAGCAGAGCAGATTCTCATTACTGCCTGAGCAATGAACACATAAGTGCCCAGGATGAGGGTGAGTGGCATCAGGAGAAGCAAAGCGCCTAGTACATTGAGCTCCATTTCATTCACACGAATATCAATACAGGCTAGTTTCAAAAGGGCTGGAACTTCACAGAAGAAATGGTCCAACACCCTCTGTCCACATCTTGGGGCCACCACTGTGAGAGTGGACTGGACAAGGGAGTTAGCAAAGCCACTGATCCAAGTGCCAGCAGCCATGTGGATACAGCGTCTATGGTTCATGATGACTGGGTAGTGAAGGGGCTTGCAAATGGCAGCGTAACGGTCAAAGGCCATGATGGCTAGAAGTATGCATTCAGTAGAACCCAGGGCCAAAAATATATAGAGTTGGGCAACACAACCCCCATAGCTAATGGTCTTTTCTGGTCCCCGGAGGTTGACCAGCATCTGTGGGACAGTGCTGGTGGTATAGCAGAGGTCCAGAAAGGATAGATTAGAGACAAAAAAGTACATGGGACTGTCAAGCTGGGGATCCAGATGGGAAACTAGGATAATGGAGATATTTCCAAATAGGGAAAAGATGTAGGCCACCAGAAAGATTACAGAGGGGTGTCTCTAGCCAGGGACGGTCAGAAAATCCCAATAGGATAAAATCATCTAGCGAGCTTTGATTGTTGATCCACATGTTAGCACTGGGAGGTGAAATTCCAGCTGAGACCTCTAAATACCCACAGTTAGGGATAGACATCAACAGTAGGAGGAAGCCACTGAGAATTAGAGATCAGAGATGCCAAGATGAAATTTTCATTTTTGCTCTAATCGGCATCTGTATCTTCATTACAGTAAAATATCATTTGCATCTACATCCTGATTATGATGAAATGTGGAGACAACATCATCAATGTAATATTGAAAGATTACTGAGAACAGAATAAATACCACACCAGCAACATAGTTGGGAATTTTGCTTATTTAATATATGTCTTCTGGTTAGCTATTCACTCCATTTGGGTTTTCATATCTTCTCTTCTAAAAAGTTTTAGTATACTACCATCAACTCTACATGCATGGATATGTAATGGTGGCAACAGAGTGTAGATTAAAATAGAAGGAAAAGGCAGAACTTCCCAAAAACAGGTCAAACGAAGGCCGGCATGAAGACTACAGGAGGATGTGCAGCCAGGGAGAACGAAGACATCTTGGCACGTTCATCTGCTTGGTACAGATCCTGGTCAGAAAACACCATAAGAACTGGAGCACTTTATAAAGTCTGCATGATAAAAGGATGGAGTGCCATGACTCGTTTTACCCCTTCCAAGCTTTAATGCTAGTCCTACTCAGAACATTTAAAAATAGGGAGAAAAAAGCCAAAAAAACAAACAAAATTACACACACAAAAAGACAATCAGTCCTTAGAAATTTGTTTGCTGTGAAAATGCAACTTTAAAAATATCTGGATACATTTGATGAAATTTTAATCTCTGGAAGAAATCACCAGAAAGAGTTTTAAATATGTGAATCCTTGAAATTTGAGGATGTATATGAATTTGTAATCTCTCAGCATCATTCTCAGCACATATAAACTTAATCATTTTCCCTCTCTCTCCCTTCTTTATTCTCATATTTTCTAATTACTGATACTATTTTTTCCACCAAAATTGCCTCTATCCTGCTCTTTGCCCATCCAAATTACACAATTCCTTTATCATATAATTTCTAAAGAATAACTCCAATTGCAAATTTTTCCATTCCCTACAATCCCAAATTTCTTTTTTTGTTTGACTCTTATCTTTTAGTAAATTTGTCTTGTGTTTTTCTCTAGTTGTTTTATAAAAGACATTTATAAAAGACTGGGATTTCCTCCAAATCCCAGTCATTCCATTCATTAGCTGTGTGACTTTGGAGATGTCATTTAATCTTTGTGTGCTTCAATTTTCTCATCTTTCAAATAAGCATAATTATACCCATCTCATAGAACTAGTGTACAAATTAAGGAATAGAGTGTACATTGCAAACATAGCTCAGTTCTTGTCATATACTAATAATTCAATGACTATTAACAATTATTATATACTTACCTAATTATGAATCCCCAGATGTATTACAGTTGTTTTATTTTTATGCATTTATGCAGTTTATAATGATATTTGTAACAATAAACAAATATTTATTAGAGGATAGTAAACAAAATGTGACTGCTCTGAAATCAGCTCAGGATCCTCTATTTACTTTTCTGATCCTCTCAGTTGCCCTATGTCATATTCTTCTTGTGATCCTGACTTAGTAGGGTTCATGTACTTAGTTGGCCAGCTCTATATTTCAAATCGTGTCATCTGAGTTACGGTATCCGTGTGAATGAAATGAGTGACAGTGAGAAATGATAGGGATAAAAACTTGCTTCACAGCTAAACATAAGAATCACTAAATTCAAAACTGATTTTAGTATCCATCCATTAACACTTCTAATTTCTTCATTTGCTTATAGAATAACAATTCTTTTGGTATGCAGAGGTCATCATTCTCTTTGAATTATAATTGCATACATGTCACGTAAGATGTCAGCTGGAGTAATTTCTTCTTCACCATTGTCTCTCAAATCTATCTATTAAATCTGTATCTATCTAAAAACATTAAGGCAGACATACAGAAAATAGTTCAGTGTCCCATGATCTCTAGCTTTCAAACTGGTATTCTTACTTACAATTGTTCTCTCATCTTCAAAACAACCTAGCTGGTTTGGAGAACAGTCTTTTCATCGTTAAAATGTGGCCATGTACATTTCAATTCAAAATTATTCAGTGGCTCTCCATATTCTGACACATTATATTAAAATGCAACCTTGGACTCAGGCCTCATATAACAATCGCTTGAACCATGCAGACATATTCACTGATCCAACCAAACTTGTGACCTTCCCCCTTGACCCCTTGTATTTATGCTGATGTGAAATGCCATTGTTGTTATGTATCCTGTAAGGATCATCTCAAATATAAAAATGTCCTTAAGTATTTCCTGCTCTCCTTTCTTACTGGTCGTCCAGAGCATTTTATTTGTAATTTCTTGATGATATACTCATTTATAAATATGACATATATACATGATATATATATATCATGTATATATGATTTGATAATTTTTTCATGATATACATATATACTCATATATAGATATATATCTATATATGGGAGAGATAGAGATTTTTTTCTGTCTTTTTTGTACTCGATATGTTTTCCTGACTATATCGATTACATACTCTTTGAAAAGAGTCAGCACGTGACTTTTAGACATAAGAGTATATGTTAAATATAATAGATATTTACTACATGTTAATCAATTTGAATTTAGTTGAAACCAGCAATCATGAAGCTTTTTCCTTTGGTGCTCTGATATGTTATTCCTAGATTACATTAGCATTTTGATATCATTATTTTTCACCTATGACCTCAATCAGTTTCACTGATATTTCATCACAACCAAACCCATATACATCATTTACTAATTCAGAGCCCAAGAGGTCAAAGCAGAGTTAAAATATGCCCCATTGGCAGTTTTAGGGTTTTATTGCTAATTCTCAAATTGATGTAACTAATTAACCAATAAATACATTTATTTTACTTACTAAAAATGCATGGACTTTAAATATGTCACTTCATACCCTTGTGACCTGGTTTGTTCAACCAGATCAAGAGAATTAAAATACTTGCATATAAACTCCATAGTACTTTAATGACAATTAAATGTATATTTCCTTTGTAAATTAAAAAAAAACTTATAAAAGACCACATATAATACAAAAGCAGTAGCTGCAATATTAGTAGGACTACTCACATGGTAAAATTACATAGAAGTGATTCTAGAAACTTCTGGGACGTCTCCTTTTTTAAACCTTGTCATTTTGTATCTCTATAATGCCACTCTTCATTCAAACTGGTGCTATCCAATTCCTTTCTTCTCCCATTTCTCACCTGGGACAGTGAGTCTTTAGGAATAGAGCCTTAAAAATATGATTACGGCCGGGCGGGGTGGCTCACGCCTGCAATCCCAGCACTTTGGGAGGCCGAGGCGGGCGGATCATGAGGTCAGGAGATCGAGACCATCCTGGCGAACAAGGTGAAACCCCGTCTCTACTCAAAATAAAAAAAAAAATTAGCCGGGTGTGGTGGCAGCCACCTGTAGTCCCAGCTACTCGGGAGGCTGAGGCAGCAGAATGGCGTGAACCCGGAGGGGGCGGAGCTTGCCATGAGCCGAGATCGCACCACTGCACTCCAGCCTGGGAGACAGTGAGACTCCGTCTCAAAAAAAAAAAATAATATATATATATATATAATATATATATATATATATATATGATTACATTTTGTATTGTATCCCCAAAGAAATGGAACACATATCTCTGCCAGTTGATTAGAAGATTATTATATGAATATATTTTGATTCAATACTGAGAAACAATTTTATCTTTACATATATATTTCTGAATCAAATTTTGCCTTATCTATTATGGTCAAAGGAAGACTTCTTCTGTGTTGTAGGATTTCTTATAGAAGAATACTTCTTAATCAGTATTCAAGTAATTCCTTGTCCAATTAAAATCCTAAAAAGACAATTTTGGAATGCTACCTTCATTCTGTCTGGATTGTTTTCTTGCTAGAGTCTCTTTCAGAATCTCATTTAGTTAGAACTCAGATAATGTTCTAAATCTGAAGAAAGCTGTGTTTCTTTTCCTACATTTCAAAATTAGTAATAACATTTTCACAATCTTTATATTTTTCTACTGCTTCTCTTCCAGTAGGCACAGCTATTTGTTTCTATTAAGTTCTATTAAGTACTATTAAGTTTCTGGGGTAAGTTTGGAAAGTTATGAATAAAATTAATTATATACTTTACCCGAGGAAAACAGTAAAGTTATTAAAGAAGTATATGTAGCCTGTTCCCCTGGTTTTCCATATACTTCATTTGTGCTTAAATATTGAAAATTTATAGGAAATAGAGGTAAAATGAGTAACAAGGAAATAATAGCAGCAGATAAACTCAGAAAGTAAAGAGAGAAGAAAAATGGAAAGAAAAAAATAAGACAGAAAAAAGAAGTACATAAAGATGGTAAATTTTTGTCTGATACATAGTAATAGTCACATAAGTAGCTGTCAAATATATGAATATAAAAAGAAATGGAAGAAAAATAGAAAATAAAAATGAAAGATCTAAGACTAAATTCAGTAATTCAGTTTAAATGTCTAGAAAGGATGCAGGGAGTTCTTGCCTTTCTGACTGTATAAGAATAATACGGAATTCGCCTAAATCAAAAGTTAAAAACAGGCTGATAATCCCCTTGAGGGTGAAAAACTGGAGCTGGGAGACAGAAGAATCTATAGATCTCTGGCAAATGGAGTGCACAAAAAAACGAAGGGTGAGCAGAGTAGAAGTATCTGACCACATGGTTTAAGAACACATGAAGCCCATTATTTTAAACGTTTACATCCTAATACACTCTTCATTAACTTTCTAAGCATGGCTCTAATATAATATGTTAATAAACAAAACTGAAACAATATTTAGATTTTCATTCTACCTGACTTATTTTATATACTTCCTCTTCATGTTACTTTGTAAGAACTTTTGCTATAGTTTTAATTCCATGCTATCAGATTCCCTTGTTCTAAATTGTCATAGATTTAAACAACTTTTTGTTGTTGTTTGTTTTTGTTTTTGTTTCTGTTCTGCCACCCAGGCTGGAGTGCAGTGATGTGATCTCAGCTCACTGCAACCTCCGCTTCCCAGGTTCACACGATTCTCCTGTCTCAGCCTCCAGAGCAGCTGGAATTACAGGTGTGCACCACCACACCCAGCTAATGGATTTAAACAACCTTTGATTATCTGAGTGGTAGGCCTTTCAGAGCTAAATTTTCTCAAAAATCAACATCTTAATAGCTACAATCTTTGTAATGGAAATAGCAGTTTCAGTCTAGAAAAGTGGTTAAAAAAAGGTACACCTAAAAATACTTAAATGAAAATATAAAGTTTCAAAGGTAAATAACATGATTGGTAACACATATTTTTCCATCAGTCTCCTAATAATAGAATAGTGTTTAACAAAGATTGGCAAACACCAGATAGTTCATATCAAATTTTCTATCCATAAACTTAAATTTTAAGTATATAATTGCTTTCATACAAGTATGTTTGTTTTCTTCTTATAATATGCCTCTAAAGAACGATTTTTTTATATAACAGAAGAGAGGAAACGCAGGCACCAAGAGGTTGTAGGACTTGCTCAAGTTTATAGATCTAGTAAATTCAGAAGAAAAGATTTGAATAATACAATATTTTGAATCCTACATCAGTATACTTTTCATAAGCTTATTGTTCTCTCAAACAAAAATGTATGTGGCTTGTAGAATAAACCTTTTTACATTTTAAAAAATTTTTATTTTATAGTTCTACTCCTGAGTGCTCCCTTCAGCCTACTCCACGAAGTGATGACAACTTTAATTAATATTCCCTCTCCAAATCCCTTCAACATTTACCTGATGCTGGGTTGTAATCCATCAGTTTGTCTGGAATGTGACATGGAGATACGGAGTCCTGGAAGACTGACCTGGGGCCCAAACATGATCCTCAAACCAGTTTGTTGTTTGAATTTCTTCTCAGCCCTCTTTAACATCAACCCAGCTCTCTCTGACCTACTGAAGGGTCAACCTCAAGAAACCAACTCCAACTGATGGCCATCCATAGAATACATAGCTCTTCAGGGAGCTTTCATGCCATTACTGCCTCACTCTCATACTTCCGTTTAAGCCTCCGAGATTCAAAATAATTAGCCTCTACTGCTGCCAACATGTCCAGGGAAAAATAACCAGAGGGACTAGAAAATGAGTATGCCACAGAAGAAATCAAGAAAATGTTTCTAACAAAATACAAACTTTGGGCATGTAAGTTTGGAGAGTCATCTAAGAAGAAAGAAAATTAATTCAAGCAAGACTAAATCTCATGGTTGCCAAGATGATTTTTTTCATTATACTTTAAGTTCTGGGATACATGTGCAGAACATGCAGGTTTGTTACATAGGTACACACATGCCATGGTGGTTTGCTGCACCCATCAACCCGTCATCTACATTAGGTGTTTCTCCTAATGCACCCCACCCTCTAACAGGCCCCAATGTATGATGTTCCCCTCACTGTGTCCATGTGTTCTCATTGTTCAACTCCCATTTATGAGTGAGAATAAGGAGTGTTTGGTTTGCTGTTCCTGTGTTAGTTAATGAGACTCATGGCTTCCAGCATAATCCATGTCCCTGCAAAGAACATAAACTCATTCTTTTTTATGGCAGCATAGTATCCCATGGTGTATATGTGCCACATTTTCCTTATCCAGTCTATCACTGATGGGCATTTGGGTTCCAAGTCTTTGCTATTGTAAATAGTGCTGCAATAAACATATATGTGCGTGTGTCTTTATAGTGGAATGTTTTATAATCCTTTGGGTATATATCCAGTAATGGGATTTCTAGGTCAAATGGTATTTCTGGTTCTAGATCCTTCAGAAATCACCACACTGTCTTCCACAATGGTTGAACTAATTTACATACCCACCAACAGTGTAAAAGCATTCCTATTTCTCCACATCCTCTCCAGCCTCTCTTGTTTCCTGACTTTTTAATGATCACCATTCTAACTGGCATGAGATGGTATCTCATTGTAGTTTTGATTTGCATTTCTCTAATGACCAATGATGATGAGCTTCATTTCATATGTTTGTTGACCACATAAATGCCTTCATGCCTTCTTTTGAGAGGTGTCTGTTCATATTCTTCACCCACTTTTTGATGGGGTTGTTTTTTTTCTTGTAAATTTGTTTAAGTTATTTGTAGATTCTGGATATTAGTCCTTTGTCAGATGGATAGATTGCAAAAATTTTCTTCCATTCCGTAGGTTAACTGTTCACTCTGATGATAGTTTCTTTTGTTGTGCAGAAGCTCTTTAGTTTAATTAGATCCTATTTGTCTATTTTGGCTTTTGTTGCCATTGCTTTTGGTGTTTTAGTCATGATGTCTTTGACCATGCCTATGTCATGAATGGTATTGTCTATGTTATCTTCTAGAGTTTTTATGATATTGGGTCTTACATTTAAATCTTAATCCATCTTGAGTTAATTTTTTTATAAGGTGTAAGGAAGGGGTCCAGTTTCCGTTTTCTGCATATGGCTAGCCAGTTTTCCCAAAACCATTTATTAAATATGAAATCCCTTCCCCATTGCTTGTTTTTGTCAGGTTTGTCAAAGATCTGATGGTTGTAGATGTGTGGCATTATTTCTGAGGCCTCTGTTCTGTTCTATTGGTCTATATATCTGTTTTGGTATCAGTACCATGCTGTTTTGGTTACTGTATCCTTGTAGTATAGTTTGAAGTCAGGTAACATGATGCCTCCAGCTTTGTTATTTTTGCTTATGATTGTCTTGGCTATACGGGCTCTTTTTTGGTTTCATATGAAATTTAAAGTAGTTTTTTTCTAATTCTGTGAAGAAAGTCAATAGTAACTTGATGGGGATAGCATTGAATCTCTAAATTACTTCAGGCAGTATGTCCATTTTCACGATATTGATTATTCCCATCCATGAGCATGGAATGTTTTTTCATTTGTTTGTGTCCTCTCTTATTTCCTTGAGCCGTGGTTTGGAGTTCTCCTTGAAGAGGTCCTTCACATTCCTTGTAAGTTGTATTCCTAGGTATTTTATTCTCTTTGTAACAATTGTGAATGGGAGTTTACTCATGATTTGGCTGTTTGTCTATTATTGGTGTATAGGAATGCTTGTGATTTTTGCAAATTGATTTTGTATCCTAAGACTTTGCTGAAGTTGCTTTTCAGCTTAAGGAGATTTAGGTCTGAGACGATGGGGTTTTCTAAATATACAATCATGTCATCTGCAAACAGAGACAATTTGACTTCCTGCCTTCCTATTTGAATACACTTTATTTCTTTCTCTTGCCTGATTGCCCTGACCAGAACTTCCAATACTATGTTGAATAGGAGTGGTGAGAGAGGGCATTCTTGTCTTGTGCTGGTTTTCAAAGAGACTGCTTCCAGCTTTTGCCCATTCAGTATGATATTAGCTTTGGGTTTGTCATAAATAGCTCTTATTATTTTGAGACACGTTCCGTCAATACCTAGTTTATTGAGAGTTTTTAGCATGAAGAGGTGTTGAATTTTATTGAAGGCCTTTAAAATAAACAACCTGACATCACAATTAAAAGAACTAGAGAAGAAAGATCAAACAAATTCAAAAGCTAGCAGAAGACAAGAAATAACAGATCAGAGCAGAGATGAAGGAGATAGAGACACAAGAAACCGTTCAAAAAATCAATGAATCCAGGAGCTGGTTTTTTGAAAAGCTTAACAAAATAGACCACTAACTGGACTAATAAAGAAGAAAACAGAGAAGAATCAAATAGACACGACAAAAAATGATAAGGGGGATATCACCACTGATCTTACAGAAATACAAACTACCATCAGAGGATACTATAAATAACTCTATGCAAATAAACTAGAAAATTTAGAAGAAATGGATAAATTCCTGGACACATACATCCTCCCAAGACTAAACCAGGAAGAAATCTAATCCCTGAATAGACCAATAACAAGTTCTGAAATTCAGGCAGTAATTAATAGCCTACCAACCAAAAAAGAAGCCCAGGATCAGACAGATTCACAGCCGAATTCTACCAGAGGTACAAAGAGGAGCTGGTACTATTCCTTCTGAAACTATTCCAAACAATAGAAAAAGTCGGAATCTTCCCTAACTCATTTTGTGAGGCCAGCATCATCCTGATACCAAAACCTGGCAGAGACACAACAAAAAAAGAAAATTTCAGGCCAATATCCCTGATGACATCGATGTGAAAATCCTCAATAAAATACTGGCAAACCGAATCCAGCAGCACATCAAAAAGCTTATCCACCATAATCAAATCGACTTCATCCCTGGGATGAAAGGCTGGTTCAACATACACAAATCAATAAACGTAATCCGTCACTTAAACAGAGCCAATGTCAAGGTGATTTTTTAAATATGGATTATGAAATAGGTAAATTTTTCCTTCACATGTACTTATTATTCTGATAAAGATATGACAACTTCATGCACTCGTTAAAATAATGTAAGTTTAAAATATGATTTTTTTTTCCTATTTCTTCCTATAGTGTTTCCTCATTCTCACTTAATGTATTGTATAAGATACTTCACAAACATAAGACATATTGATTCATTGGATAACATTGTCACTATATAAATTAGGAAAATACATTTTCATTATTCATATTTAGCTGATGACAATTCCAAAACTGAGAAAATCAAAGTTTCTCAAGATTACAGACAGGTAGACTAGGAACACAAACCAATGCTTCCAAATTTGATCTAGTTTTTCCTCCTCCAAGTTATTGAGCATAACTAATCTAGGCCCCTCAGAGTGAAGGTTGAAATTGTAATTCAACATATATTCTGGCCCACTATCTCCATTATATTAGCCTTTTTTTTCTGTTACAATCTTTCTGGAATAGTAGGAAAAATAATAGACATGAAAATGCTAAGACTGTGTATAAATACTTAATCGTCTTCTTGGACAGATAAGCTTAAATACCAGACTTTGCATTTCTTTATTTTAAAAAGTATACTTATCAAAACCACTAAATTAACTTGCTCTCAAATAAATAATACGAAGCAAGGTTTTTGAAAGCATTTCATATCAGGCTTCAGAAATGAACCCAAATGTGTATGGAGATTTACTTTATCATGAAGGAGTAATTTCATATCATTACGTAAAGGCAGAACGTTTCAATGGAGTGTGTGTGTGCTAACTGATTTAAAATCAGGAAAAAAATAAATAAATTCCTATCTTTAATTTCAAAACAATAAAAATTTAAATGTAGAAATATTAGGCAAAAGACCTAAGATCACTTAAAGGCCTTAAATTATTGATGTATTTGATACATAAAAGTATTCACTTGACACAAATTTGCACATATTCATTCAGAAGTGGGTGTACAAAGACCTTTGTTGCAGTGTTGTTTGCATTAGCAAAAAGCTACACATCTCATAAATGACTACCAGTCCTGAAGTTGTTAAACACATCTTCATAATGTAATATTTTGCATTTATTAAAAATAGCGAGGCAAGTCTGTAGTTAGAGAATTGATATATTTAAGGAGAAAAAAGTTACAAGATGGTATTTATAAGATGACACAGGATGTTATCTCTCTACTAACCTATCAATATGCATATATAAATAAATGTATCTATTAAAACACATGAACACATACACAACTACCCCACATACACTAATATGTGTAAAGAATATCTTCAGAAAAGTGAAAAATGGCAAATAGTGAGATGGAGTAAGGAGTGGAAGAGGGATGTGTTTGCACCATAAATATCTTTATTGGGTATATTTCTTGTCATATTTTTTACATTTTTTGAATTTGTAACAATAATGAGCACAAAACAACAGCATTATGATGACCTTCCTGGGAAGTTTCCTGAGGAGGGCATGTAGAGCATAATTCCATTATGAAAAAAATGTGCTTAGAGTATGAAATGAAATAAACCAACATCTTACCTAATCAGATTATCTTCAATATTCATCTCTTTATTTTTAAAATTTTATGGTTTTATTTTTTTTATTGATATAAATGGTTTCTTTATTTGTAGAATTACACTTAAAATTATTTTGAAGCAGCATGAACTCTCTCTGGATGGTATTAGAATTTCATACCCAAATAAACTTGAACATTACTTTTTTAAAATTTTATTATTATTATACTTTAAGTTTTAGAGTACATGTGCACAACGTGCAGGTTTGTTACATATGTCTACATGTGCCATGTTGGTGTGCTGCACCCATTAACTAATCATTTAGCAATAGGTATATCTCCTAATGCTATCCCTGCCCCCTCACCACACCCCACAACAGTCCCCCGTGTGTGATGTTCCCCTTCCTGTCACCACGTGTTCTCATTGTTCAATTCCCACCTATGAGTGAGAACATGCGGTGTTTGGTTTTTTGTCCTTGTGATAGTTTGCTGAGAATGATGGTTTCCAGCTTCATCCATGACTCTACAAAGGACATGAACTCATCATTTTTTATGGCTGCATAGTATTCCATGGTGTATATGTGCCACATTTTCTTAATCCAGCCTATCATTGTTGGACATTTGGGTTGGTTCCAAGTCTTTGCTATTGTGAATAGTGCCGCAATAAACATATGTGTGTGTGTGTCTTTCTAGCAGCATGATTTATAATCCTTTGGGTATATACCCAGCAATGGGATGGCTGGGTCAAATGGTATTTCTAGTTCTAGATCCCTGAGGAATCGCCACACTGACTTCCACAATGGTTAAATTAGTTTACAGTCCCACCAACAGTGTAAAAGTGTTCCTATTTCTCCACATCCTGTCCAGCACCTGTTGTTTCCTGACTTTTTAATGATCACCATTCTAACTGGTGTGAGATGGTATCTCATTGTGGTTTTGATTTGCATTTCTCTGATGGCCAGTGATGATGAGCATTTTTTCATGTGTTTTTTGGCTGCATAAATGTCTTCTTTTGAAAAATGTCTGTTCATATCCTTCACCCACTTTTTGATGGGGTTGTTTGTTTTTTTCTTGTAAATTTGTTGGAGTTCACTGTAGATTCTGGATATTAGCCCTTTGTCAGATGGGTAGGTTGCAAAAATTTTCTCCCATTCTGTAGGTTGCCTATTCACTCTGATGGTAGTTTCTTTTGTTGTGCAGAAGTTCTTTAGTTTAATTAGATCCCATTTGTCAATTTTGGCTTTTGTTGCCATTGCTTTTGGTGTTTTAGACATGAAGTCCTTGCCCATGCCTATGTCCTGAATGGTATTGCCTAGGTTTTATTCTAGGGTTTTTCTGGTTTTAGGTCTAACATTGAAGTCTTTAATCCATCTTGAATTAATTTTTGTATAAGGTGTAAGGAGGGGATCCAGTTTCAGCTTTCTACATATGGCTAGCCAGTTTTCCCAGCACCATTTATTAAATAGAGAATCCTTTCCCCATTGCTTGTTTTTGTCAGGTTTTTCAAAGATCAGATACTGGTAGATATGTGGCATTATTTCTGAGGGCTCTGTTCTGTTCCACTGTTCTATATCTCTGTTTTGGTACCAGTACCATGCTGTTTTGGTTACTGTAGCCTTGTAGTATAGTTTGCAGTCAGGTAGCATGATGCCTCCAGCTTTGTTCATTTGGCTTAGGATTGACTTGGAAATGCAGGCTCTTTTTTGGTTCCATATGAACTTTAAAGTAGTTTTTTCCAACTCTGTGAAGAAAGTCATTGGTAGCTTGATGGGCAAGGCATTGAATCTATAAATTACCTTGGGCAGTATGGCCATTTTCACGATATTGATTCTTCCTACACATGAGCAGGTAATGTTCTTCCATTTGTTTGTATCCTCTATTATTTCATTGAGCAGTGGTTTGTAGTTCTCCTTGAAGAGGTCCTTCACATCCCTTGTAAGTTGGATTCCTAGGTATTTGATTCTCTTTGAAGCAATTGTGAATGGGAGTTCACTCATGATTTGGCTCTCTGTTTGTCTGTTATTGGTGTATAGGAATGCTTGTGATTTTTGCACACTGATTTTGTATCCTGAGACTTTGCTGAAGTTCCTTATCAGCTTAAGGAGATTTTGGGCTGAGACGATGGGGTTTTCTAGATATACAATCATGTCATCTGCAAACAGGGACAATTTGACTTCCTCTTTTCCTAATTGAATGCCCTTTATTTCCTTCTCCTGCCTGATTGCCCTGGCCAGAACTTCCAACTCTATGTTGAATAGGAATGGTGAGAGAGGGCATCCCTGTCTTTTGCCAGTTTTCAAAGGGAATGCTTCCAGTTTTGTCCATTCAGTATAATATTGGCTGTGGGTTTGTCATAGATAGCTCTTATTATTTTAAGATATGTCCCATCAATACCTAATTTATTGAGAGTTTTTAGCATGAAGTGTTGTTGAATTTTGTCAAAGGCCTTTTCTGCATCTATTGAGATAATCATGTGGTTTTTGTCTTTGGTTCTGTTTATATGCTGGATTACATTTATTGATTTTCATATGTTGAACCAGTCTTGCATCCCAGGGATGAAGGCCACTTGATCATGGTGGATAAGCTTTTTGATGTGCTGCTGGATTCAGTTTGCCAGTATTTTATTGAGGATTTTTGCATCAATGTTCATCAAGGATATTGGTCTAAAATTCTCTTTTTTGGTTGTGTCTCTGCCAGGCTTTGGTATCAGGATGATGCTGGCCTCATAAAATGAGTTAGGGAGGATTCCCTCTTTTTCTATTGATTGGAATAGTTTCAGAAGGAATGGTAGCAGCTCCTCTTTGTACTTCTGGTAGAATTCGGCTGTGAATCCATCTGGTCCTGGACTTTTTTTGGTTGGTAAGCTGCTAATTATTGCCTCAATTTCAGAGCCTGTTATTGGTCTATTCAGAGATTCAACTTCTTCCTGGTTTAGTCTTGGGAGGGTGTATGTGTCGAGGAATTTATCCATTTCTTCTAGATTTTCTAGTTTATTTGTGTAGAGGTGTTTATAGTATTCTCTGATGGTAGTTTGTATTTCTGTGGGATTGGTGGTGATATCCCCTTTATCATTTTTTATTGCGTCTATTTGATTCTTCTCTCTTTTCTTCTTTATTAGTCTTGCTAGTGGTCTATGAATTTTGTTGATCTTTTCAAAAAACCAGCTTCTGGATTCATTGATTTTTTGAAGGGTTTTTTGTGTCTCTATTTCCTTCAGTTCTGCTCTGATCTTAGTTATTTCTTACCTTCTGCTAGCTTTTGAATGTGTTTGCTCTTGATTCTCTAGATGTTTTAATTGTGATGTTCTGGTGTCAGTTTTAGATCTTTCCTGCTTTCTCTTGTGGGCATTTAGTGCTATAAATTTCCCTCTACACACTGCTTTAAATGTGTCCCAGAGATTCTGGTATGTTGTGTCTTTGTTCTTGTTGGTTTCAAAGAATATCTTTATTTCTGCCTTCGTTTCATTATGTACCCAGTAGTCATTCAGGAGCAGGTTGTTCAGTTTCCATGTAGTTGAGTGGTTTTGAGTGAGTTTCTTAATCCTGAGTTGTAGTTTGATGGCACTGTGGTCTGAGAGACAGTTTGTTATAATTTCTGTTCTTTCACATTTGCTGAGGAGAGCTTTATTTCCAGCTATGTGGTCAATTTTGGAATAGGTGTGGTGTGGTGCTAAAAAGAATGTATATTCTGTTGATTTGGGGTGGGGAGTTCTGTAGATGTCTATTAGGTCCGCTTGGTGCAGAGCTGAGTTCAATTCCCAGGTATCCTTGTTAACTTTCTGTCTCGTTGATCTGTCTAATGTTGACAGTGGGGTGTTAAAGTCTCCCATTATCATTGTGTGGGAGTCTAAGTCTCTTTGTAGGTCTCTAAGGACTTGCTTTATGAATCTGGGTGCTCCTGTATTGGGTGCATATATATTTAGGATAGTTAGCTCTTCTCGTTGAATTGATCCCTTTACCATTATGTAATGGCCTTCTTTGTCTCTTTTGATCTTTGTTGGTTTAAAGTCTGGTTTTTCAGAGACTAGGATTGCAACCCCTGCCTTTTTTTGTCTTTCATTTGCTTGGTAGATCTTCCTCCATCGCTTTATTTTGAGCCTATGTGTGTCTCTGCATGTGAGATGGGTTTCCTGAATACAGCATACTGACGGGTCTTGACTCTTTATCCAATTTGCCAGTCTGTGTCTTTTAATTGGCGCATTTAGCCCATTTACATTTAAGGTTAATATTGTTATGTGTGAATTTGATCCTGTCATTATGATGTTAGCTGGTTATTTTGCTTGTTAGTTGATGCAGTTTCTTCCTAGCCTTGAAGGTCTTTACAATTTGGCATGTTTTTTCAGTGGCTGGTACAGGTTGTTCCTTTCCATGTTTAGTGCTTCCTACAGGAGCTCTTTTAGGGCAGGCCTGGTGGTGACAAAATCTCTCAGCATTTGCTTGTCTGTAAAGGATTTTATTTCTCTTTCACTTATGAAGCTTAGCTTGGCTGGATATGAAATTCTGGGTTGAAAATTCTTTACTTTAAGAATGTTGAATATTGGCCCCCACTCTCTTCTGGCTTGTAGAGTTTCTGCCGAGAGATCCACTGTTAGTCTGATGGGCTTCCCTTTGTGGGTAACCTGACCTTTCTCTCTGGCTGCCCTTAACATTTTTTCCTTCATTTCAACTTTGGTGAATCTGACAATCATGTGTCTTGGAGTTGCTCTCCTCGAGGAGTATCTTTGTGGCATTCTCTGTATTTCCTGAATTTGAATGTTGGCCTGCCTTGCTAGATTGGGGAAGTTCTCCTGGATAATACCCTGCAGAGTGTTTTCCAACTTGGTTCCATTATCCCCGTCATTTTCAGGTGCACCAATCAGACATAGATTTGGTCTTTTCACATAGTCCCATATTTCTTGGATGCTTTGTTCGTTTCTTCTTATTCTTTTTTCTCTAAACTTCTCTTCTCGCTTCATTTCATTCATTTCGTCTTCCATAACTGATACCCTTTCTTCCAGTTGATTGCATCGGCTACTGAGGCTTGTGCATTCATCACGTAGTTCTCGTGCCATGGTTTTCAGCTCCATCAGGTCCTTTAAGGACTTCTCTGCATTGGTTATTCTGTTTATCCATTCATCTGATTTTTTTTTTCAAGGTTTTTAACTTCTTTGCCATTGGTTCAAACTTCCTCCTTTTGCTAGGAGTAGTTTGATCCTCTGAAGACTTCTTCTCTAAACTTGTCAAAGTCATTCTCCCTCCAGCTTTGTTCCGTTGCTGGTGAGGAGCCGCATTCCTTTGGAGGACGAGAGGCGCTCTGATTTTTAGAGTTTCCAATTTTTCTGCTCTGTTTTTTCCCCATCTTTGTGGTTTTATCTACCTTTGGTCTTTGATGATGGTGACGTACAGATGGGTTTTTGGTGTGGATGTCCTTGCTGTTTGTTAGTTTTCCTTCTAACAGTCAGGACCCTCAGCTGCAGGTCTGTTGGAGTTTGCTGGAGGTCCACTCCAGACCCTGTTTTCCTGGGTATCAGCAGCAGTGGTTGCAGAACAGCAGATATTGGTGAACCGCAAATGCTGCTGCCTGATTGTTCCTCTGGAAGTTTTGTCTCAGAGGAGTACCTGGCCGTGTGAGGTGTCAGTCCGCCCCTACTGGGGGATGCCTCCCAGTTAGGCTACTTGGGGGTCAGGGACCCACTTGAGGAGGCAGTCTGCCCGTTCTCAGTTCTCAAGCTGCGTGCTGGGAGAACCACTACTCTCTTCAAAGCTGTCAGACAGGGACATTTAAGTCTGCAGAGGTTACTGCTGCCTTTTGTTTGTCTGTGCCCTGCTCCCAGAGGTGGAGCCTACAGAGGCAGGCAGGCCTCCTTGAGCTGTGGTGGGCTCCACCCAGTTCGAGCTTCCTGGCCGCTTTGTTTACCTACTCAAGCCTTGGCAATGGTGGGTGCCCTCCCCCAGCCTTGTTGCTGCCTTGTAGTTTGATCTCAGACTGCTGTGCTAGCAATGAGCAAGGCTCCTTGGGCGTAGGACCCTCCGAGCCAGGTGCTGGATATAATCTCCTGATGTGCTGTTTGTTGAGCCCATTGGAAAAGCACAGTATTAGGTTGGGAGTGACCCAATTTTCCAGGTGCTGTCTGTCACCCCTTTCTTTGACTAGGAAAGGGAATTCCCTGACCCCTTGTGATTCCCAGGTGAGGCGATGCCTCGCCCTGCTTCGGCTCACACATGGTGCACTGCACCCACTGTCTTGCACCCACTATCCGGCACTCCCCAGTGAGATGAACCCAGTACCTCAGTTGGAAATGCAGAAATCACCTGTCTTCTGTGTTGCTCACGCTGGGAGCTGTAGACTGGAGCTGTTCCTATTCGGCCATTTTGGCTCCACCCTGGTTAGTTGAGTTTTTAAATCAACCCAATGAAGAAATGGTCTTAGCTTCTCCCAGCTGTTTGAGCCAGCACATAAAATTAGAATATCTTTTAAGGGCTCTCATGTTGATAAATTTGGCTTAATCCACATTTGGTTCAGTCAAATGTTTTCTCTCTTCATGACAATCCATTCCAATATAATCCCCAAGATTTTTGTAGCTTAAAATGGCAAATTTTATCATTATTTTCTGTCTCCTGACACACTGTTAGTGTTAGTCTGATGGGCACACAACAAGTGTCATCTCTCAGCATGCTCCAGGGAGACAGAAACATCCTACCTAGTTGTGTTGTGATTAATCATGATAACTGATACCCTCTTTAAAGGTATTGCCTCAGATATCATTTCAAAAACTTCAGCCAAATCATGGTCATTTCACCAAACAAAAGAAATAGGGTGACCTGACATGAAAACAAAGATTTTTTTTTTATTTTGGGATTGATAGCACTGTAATTTACTTGAAACTATCTAGATATTCTCAACACTACAGGAGCAAACTTGGATGGGTATTTTGCCACAAGTGCAGCAGAAAAGCTAAGATAATTCACTCCAATGCACTACAAGCTTTCATAATGTGTGCTGAAGTGTCCTTCCAAAGTTTGGGAGTGCCCTCAAAGGGCAGAAAGCTAGGGACAGGACTGGGAAGCAAATAGAAGTCCCCACTGACCCAAAAGGCTGGCAGCCAGACTATAAAGCAAAGAGAAATCTCCCGTAGTCCAAAAGGCTGGTAGCCTCACTATAAAACATCAAGACTTATCTGGACTCTCACCAGAATTCAGGCCCACCCTTCCTTCAAAATAGTTGAAGACAGTGGTTAACTGAATTTAACCAAGTTTACAACAGGTTTAAGCTTAGCTACACATCAGACAGTCTGAGTTCCCCATACTCATACCCTGATAAATAAGGAATATGTCCTATCCTGAGGATAAATACTACTTACTATTTATTTCTGTCCCTACAAGTATTTTTTACAAATTGTTATGGACTGTTTGTGTCACTCCAAATTTATATGTTGAAGCACTTACCACAATGTGATGATATTTGGAGGTAGAGTCTTTGGGAAGTTAAATTAGGTTTAGATGCAGTCATGAGAGTGGGGCCCCCATGTCAGGGTTAGTGTTTTTATAAGAAAAGGAAGAAAGATCAGAGTTTTATCTACACAATGTGAGAATACAGTGAAAGGTCTGTCAGCAAGAGAGACTTCACCAAAAACTAAATTTTCTGGCACCTTAAATTTGGACATTCCAGCTTCCAGAATTATGAGAAATAAATGTCTGTTGTTTAAGCCACCCAAGCTATGGTATTTTGTTATAACATCCTGAGCTAAGACATATTTTTGTACCAGGAGTGGGATGTAGCTGAAAATGTAGAAGTGGCTTTAAAACTGGAAAAGGGGTAGAAGTTAAGGAATTTGGGGATGCATGCTATAAATATGCACAATAATAGCTATTCTGTTTAGGGCTTATACAGAATATAAGACTGCTGGAGAAAAACTTCCATTTTCTTATAGAATACATAAATAATTATAAACAGAATGTTGGCAGAAATATGTATGGTAAAGGTCATTCTGGGGAAGGCTTAGACAGAAATGAAGAATAAGCTATTGGACAATTGAGAAAAAGTGATTCTTTTTATAAAGTGGTAAAGAACTTGGCTGAATTATGTTCATGTTTTATTGTTTTGTGGAATGTAAAACTAGTAAGTGATGAAATTAACAGTGAACATAGCTGACATTTCTAATCAAAGTGTTGAAGGAGTCACTTTGTTCATCCTGACTGCTTCTACTAAGATGCAAGAAAAAAAAAAGAGATAAATGAATCAAAAAAGGAATTGTTAAAAAAAAAAAAGGAGCTGGAACTTAAAAAATTGGAAAGTTCTCAGCCTATCCACACTGCAAAAGATGAGAAAGCATGCTGAGAAAAAAAAAAAACCACCAAAGGTGTGGCTGGACCCTCACTCGATAAAGAGATTACGGGATTATATAAGCAGAAACACTGTCAGTCTGAACTGAAGGAGATGGGAATGGGATAAAATGAAGGAAGTCTGTCAGACTTCTTAGATTCTTTGGGACTGGACCATAGAGCTATTCAGATGTGAATGTGTGATATTACTCTTCAAGACAAGGGAAGAAAGACCCTAAAGGTGTTTTAGAGATTATCTGGGCTGCCACCTCAGATTTAAAGGTTGGGGCTATCATCTCAGTTTCAATGGGCAGTTGGTGTCAGAGTGGCTGCCAGAGCCTTTTGGGTACAATGAAGAGTCATGAGGACATGACCCCTTCCCTGCAGAGCTACAGAGGTCCGACTATCTACTATCCCAGTTTGTCCAGAAAGTGGGACTGTCATCCCAGTAGACCCAGAAGGCAAATTATGAAACCAAAGATTATCCTTGAGCTTTAAGATCTAATGGTATTTGCATTACAAGATTTTAGATTTGCTTGGAACCTGCCACCCCTTTCTTTCTTCCAGGTGTTGGAATGAGAATGCCTATTCTATGTCTAATCTATCATTGTATTTTGGAAGTGTGTAATTTATCTGGTTTCACAGACTTATAACTGGGGATGAATTTTTCCTCAGGATTAATCGTATCTTGAGCCTCACCTATATCTGATTTAGATGATATTTAGATGAGACAGGACTTCCAATTTTAGAGTTGATCTTGGAATAAGTTAAGACTTTGGGGGCTACTGAAATAAGATCAATTTTTTTGTGTGTGTAAGAATAACATTAATTTGGGAGACAAAAGGCAGAATGCTATGGATTCAATGTCTGTGTACCCCCAAAATTCATATGTTGAAGCCCTAACCCTCCATGTGATGGTATTTGGAGATGGGGCCTTTGGAAAGTAATTAGGTTTAAATCAGGTCATGAGGGTGGGCCTCCATAAGGGGATTAGTGACCTCATAAAAGGAAGAGGGACCATAAAAGGAAGAGCACACTCTTTCCCTACCACTTGAGGGAACAGCAAGTGAAAAGGCAGCCGTCTGCAAGTCAAGAAGTAGGGCCTCATCAGGAACTGCACCTCCTACTCCTTTATCTTAAACCTCCCAGCCTCCAGAACTTTGAGAAATAAGTGTCTGTTGTTTATTCCACCCAGCCTGTGGTATTTTGTTAGAGCAGCCCAAGCTGACCAAGACACACAATGCCTGGCATAAAATAAAAATTAAACACTATGAGGCACACTAACAAGCAAGAAAAATAGAAACAGTGCACGCCTGTAATTCCAGCTACTAGCGAGGCTGGGGCAGGAGAATCACTTGAACCTGGGAGGCAGAGGTTGCAGTGAGCAGAGATCACCCAGGCACTCCAGCCTGGGTAACAGAGTAAGACTCCGTCTCAAAAAAAAAAAAAAAAAAAAAAAAGAAAGAAAAAGAAAAAAGAAAAAGAAAGAAACAGGAGTCATTTGAAGCTAAAAAGAGGAAATATTCAAGTGAAGTATATCCAGACATGGTTCAGACATTAGAATCATCAGATAAGAATTTTTTAAATATGTTTTAACATTTCGCTGGTAAAGGCAGACAAGATTTATGAACAAAGGGGAGATCTCAACAAAGAGATTAGCATTGTACAGAAGAACCAAATGGAAATGTTGGATATAAAAAAAAACATACCAGAAATAATATAAGAAATAAATAATTAATTTGGTGGGCTTAACAATAGGCTGGACTCAGTAGAGGAAAGAATTCATGAACTGAAATACAAGTCAATTGAAATTATCCAAACTTCAACCCAAAGAGAAAAAAGAAAAAGCATCCAAGTTATGTAGGATAATATTATCTCCTCTGACACATGAGTACTTGGAGCTCCAGAATATAAGAAAAAGAAATAAACAGAAAAAAATCTTAAGAGATAATGGTTGAGAATTTTCCAAAATTAATGACACCACCATAAATCCGAGAAGTTCACCAAACCCAATGCAAAATAAATAAGAAAATCACACCGTTGCCCTTTACCAAAATGATGACATGGATTTCCCTTAAGAAAAAACAGAATGATCAATGATAGCCACTTCAGTGGTTTTATACTCCTTGGATTCACAGGGCAGCCTCAGCTTCAGATGATGATCTCTGGGGTTGTCTTTTTCTTCTACACTATTGCCTTCATGGGAAATATGGCCATCATCCTATTGTCTTTCCTAGATGACCATCTCCAAGTCCCCATGTACTTCTTCCTTAGAAATTTGGCCATCTTGGATCTCTGTTATACCACAAATATAGTCCCACAAATGTTGGTCAGTATCTGGGGCAAAGACAAAAGAATTACCTTTGGTGGGTGTGCCTTTCAACTTTTCATTGATGTGGCACTGTACTCAGTTGAATGCATCCTTCTGTCCATGATGTCATATGATCGACTCAATGCTATCTGCAAGCCTCTGCATCATATGACCATAATGAACCTCCAACTCTGCCAGGGCCTTGTGGTCATCTCCTGGGTAGTTGGTGTGATTAATTGCATCATACCTTCCCCCTATGCCACGAGTCTTCCTCGATGTAGGAACCACCACCTAGACCACTTTTTTGTGTGTGTGAAATGTCTGCAATGATCAAGATTCAAGATTGCATGTGTGGACACCACAGCCATGGAGGTAACCACATTTGCCATGTGCCTGATTATAGTTCTTGTTCCTCTTCTTCTTATTCTTGTGTCATATGGTTTCATTGCTGTGGCTGTACTCAAGATCAAGTCTGCAGCAGGAAGACAAAAAGCATTTGGGACCTGTTCCTCCCATCTCGTTGTGGTATCCATCTTCTGTGGGACAGTTACATACATGTATATACAGCCAGGAAACAGTCCAAATCAGAATGAGGGCAAACTTCTCAGTATATTTTACTCCATTGTTACTCCCAGCTTGAACCCATTAATTTATACGGTAAGGAATAAGGAGTTCAAGGGGGCCATGAAGAGGCTAACTGGAAAAGAAAAAGATTGCATGGAAAAAAGAGGACATTGATTCTTCCTCCCAGCAATTTCTAATATGGCAATTGATCTTCCCAATCTAAAATGTAGACAATTTATTTTGTAAATAAATTGTCTACACCTGAGATAAAGATAATATCCATTAAAAATATAATAAAATTATAATAAAAATTATAATTAAGCCGAATGTATTTATTGAATACTTAATCCATGATGATTGGTATATGTACAAAACTCATATTTAAAATGAAATTATAAACTAAAGTGCCAACACTAAAAATAACATGCTATGCACTGATTTCTTTTGGATTATATATGTTACAATTATATTGATATTGACCAATTTAACTCTAATAGTCTCCTTTGATTATGCTAACTAAATATTGTCATTAATTTAAGGAGATTAAAAGCTGTTTTCATTGCCCTCTATTTTAAGGTACAACACTTTTGCTCCAACCAGTCCCAGGAATATTTTTACACAGGCAAATCTCCAGCCTGAAGATGACAGCAGCAAAGCTAGTCGTTAACCAAGAAGACCAAGAGTTCTAGTTATCAATCATCTTTGAAAAGATCTCATGTTAATTAACCACAGTAATTTCCCCCTATCTTTCTCTGCTTAGATAATTACTCAAGGAGCTCAATTTTTGTGATCACAAAAGAAAAATATTTTTATCAGTTCCAATAATCATCTTTAAGATAATGCTTTTTTCTTTCCCACTTGGCCTTCCAAGTTTTTACTACTTATTTTGGGGATGAGCATGGAGGTATTGCCATGTCACCTGGTTTTAGATGTTCTACATTTTTTCTCTGAGTGCTTCAAGAAAACTGACACATAGAAAGGTGATTTATTTGGCTATTGAAATGGTCTTTCTGTCTTTTTCTGAAGTGTGTTTTTAAATGCATTTCTTTCTCATTTTTGTTGAGTTATTATCCTTTCCATATTTTGACTGAAGATAAATTTGATTTTTGTCTTGAAGATAAATGTTGATTCATGGGATAGTTCAGAGCTATGTTACCAACTTGTAACTTGAAAAAGAATTTTTGAAAACTTCCTTTATGTTTCTGATCCAATATCCAATATCACTTTTTCTTGCTCCATCTCTTGCTCATGTCCTAGTTATTTATACAGTCACATAATTCCATTCATGCCAAAAAGACTTTTTATTAAAAAAGCTAGAGTGATTAATTTTATTCCTTATACCCTCTTTCTCCCTTGAGAAAGTAGAAAACTTAAATAAAATGAAAAATCTAGAATATTTGATTTTGATATTTTTGTAGTTCTTGAGGATGAAAAATGAACTTAATAGGATTTTGAAGTCTAAATACTCCATTAGATAAGTTAAAGTAAAATTGTTTCAATAGCTGTTTTGAAGCATCATAAATTGAGATACTTGTAGGAACTACTTAAGCTCTGGAGTGACTTTTCTTTTTATTCCAGCTTCTCCGTTAATGACAGTACTTTCAGAAGTTGTCCTAAATCTCAGAGACACACCTAGCATTTTGCAGTATATATTTAGTACTTTTATGACTATTAAGAACGCCACATTTTCCAGGAATTCCAACATCTTTCAAAAAATAGAAGAGAGAGAAAACAGAGAAAAGGAAGTTACCAAAAGCAGACAGGAGAAATTTTCAGATCAAAAGAACATAAATGTACACCTTAAAGAATTATTGTACAATACACTGTGATGGAACACCCAAAAGCCCACCCAAGTCAAGTTTTAGAAAAATGTACTCAGAGGTGGCCAAAGTGCCGCTTCATGGTTATAATCCCTATCCTTCTCTCTCAACATTAATTATTATTCTTACATATATAGATTTCACACTTTTCCTTTCCTTTACAGATGTCTTACCTAACTATGCATCTCCAAATAATATGGTTTAATTTTTTTAATTTTTATATACATGGATTCTGTTGTACTTGAATTCTTTCAAATAACATTATATTTTTAAGATTCATCTATGCATTAAGCATTTCTGTACTTCACTTATTTCCACAGCTGTAAATACTTCATAATATACATATACAACTTATTTATTTATTCTGTCTTCATAAAAATTATAGTTTTTCACGTTTTCAAACCTCAGAAACAATTCTGCTTAGAATATTTTATGCATGTATTTTGGCTCATCTTGCATATGTATATATATCCTCATTGTATATTTGTACTCAGGTTTTTTGAAACACTGCCAAAATTTTCCAGAGTGGTTGCACCATATTAAACACTTATCAGTGTATGTGTTTCCATTGCTCTACATCTTCATCAATATTTGGTTTTCTTAGGTTTCTTTTTAATTTTAGTCAATCTGATGTGAGTGCATGATGGGTATAATTTTTGCTTTTATGATTATTGAAGCAAACGAGCACCATCCATTTCACAAATGCATTGGCCACTTATGTTTACCCTTTGAGATTTATCTATTCAGGTTTTTGCAATTTTTTACTATTTTTCTTATTGATATGAAGTATTTATATGTTCTGGATATGCCTTTTAACAAGCACAAGCACTAAAAATATCTCTTCCTTTTCTGTGATTTGTCTTTTGACTCCTAATGGTGTCACCTGATGAACAGAATTTTGTAGTTTCAATGATTGAAGTGTATTCATCATTTTTTACCTGTCAGTGATTTTTAAGACCAGTTACAGAAATAATTCCTCTTCCTAATAATACCTAATAATACCATAAAGTTATTATTTCATATTGATTTCTAAAACAGGAGTTGGGAAACTGTAGCCAGTGGGCCACTTGTGTCTGTTTTATAAAGTTTTATAGGAACACAGCCACACCCAGTTACTTACTTTTGTCTATGGCTGCTTTAGCACTACAACTACAGAGTTGAGTAGTTGTGACCGAGACCTGATGACACACAATGCCTAAAATATTTACTATCTGGCCTTTCCAAAAAAGTTTCCGTACCCTATTCTAGAAGATACTTTTTCCCTTTCACATCTAAATCTACAATCTATCTGGAATAGATGTTTATACACAGTATAAGTTGGGACAAATTTATTTTTTTAATTAATATCCCATTGGTCCAGCACCATATATTGAAAATTATAATTTTTCTCTATTCTTCTGTAGTGTTGTCTTTGTCATAAATAAATTTCCACAGATCTGTGGGTTTGTTTCAAGTCTTTTTTTTTCTATTTCAGTGTTTGATGTGGTTTGGCTGTGTCCCCACCCAAATCTCATCTTCAGTTGTAGCTCCCATAATTCCTGCATGGGAGCATGGGAGGGACCCAGTGAGAGGTAACTGAATCATGGGAATGGGTCTTTCCCATGCTGTTGTCGTGATAGTAAATAAGTCTCACAAGATCTGATGGTTTTATAAAGGGAATTTTCCCTGCACACTCTTCTTGCCTGATGCCATGTAAGATGTGACTTTGCTCCTCCTTCACCTTCTGCCATGATTGTGAGGCCTCCCCAGCCATGTGGAACTGTGAGTTTGCACCTCACTCATTGCTTCTCAAACCCTCACATTGTGTGCCAAAAAATATTGCAGGACTTTTCCTTAGTTCAGCTAAAAAGGGGGTTCTTTGTCCCATGGCCATGAAAATTCAGACTCACAACTTAAATGGTGAGTAAGACAGGATTTTATTGGGTGTAAAGGGGGAAACACGGGCTCTTGGAAGGCCAGAGTCCCTGCTACAGTGCTTCCCGACCAGGTGTTTGAATCCCAGGTTCCACACAGGAAAAGGAGGAGCCAGGCTCCTTCCTGTGGCAAACATCATGAACTTCTGGAGGCTCCACCTCAGTGGGCAGGCTGGTTGGAGTTTCTCCAGGGAACACCTCCCACCTGGCTGTCTCAAGGGAGTTGGAAAGGAAAGGCAAATAATATTTGGAAATACAAGTTTTGAGATGAAAGAAAAAAGTTTGAATTTTAAAAATTTAAGGTCAGAAGATTTACATAGCAGAGTGAAGGTGGACAGCAGGATTAAAACTGTTCAGCTTAAATATTAGAAAAAAGGCATAAAAGGTATAAAACCTGCATTCTCTATGAACCCTTGGCTAAAGGAGGTGATAACTTGTAACAGATTTCTAACCCCTTCGTAATATCCTTTTTAATAAGGGGAGATCCATCCAGTTTTATTTAGCCATTTTGCTCATGATTCACCTTTGAGATTTTTGTAGATTTTTTTTTTTTTGCCTTGGTATAGAAATATACAATGTAATTGAGAATATAGACCTTGTAAGGCAAATTGCCCTGGGTATAAATTTTACACTTAGTTGGATAAACAGATAAAACATTAGAACAATGGTGAAATATAAAATACTTATATTTTCTTTCAATCCCATTATGTACTTTTCCTAGCTATATATACTGCTAATATTATATCTAAATATATTCATTATGGCTTCCAAAATGTTGACTATTTTTTAAATTTTCACAGCTGATATTCAGAAAATAGCAAAAATGATCAATGATAGTTACTTTGGTTGGCTTATGCTCCTTGGGTTCCCTGGGAAGCCTCAGCTGGAGATGATCATCTCTGGGGTTGTCTTTTTCTTCTATGCAATTTCTTTGATGGGAAATATGGTCCTTATCCTGCTGCCATTACTGGATAAACATCTCCAAACCCCCATATATTTCTTTCTTAGAAATCTGGCTATCTTGGATCTTTGTTACACCACAAATATAGTCCCACAGATGTTGGTCAATGCCTGGGGTAAAGACAAGAAAATCACTTTTGGTGGCTGTGCTTTTCAACTTTTCACTAATGTGACGCTATGCACGGTTGAATGTATGCTTCTGGCTGTGATGTCATATGACCCATTCAATGCTGTCTGCAAGCCTCTGGACTATATGACCATAATGAACCCCCAACTCTGTCAAGGCCTGGTGGCCATGACCTGGTTAATTGGTGTCACTAATTGCATGATACTTTCCCCCTGTCCTGTGAGTCTTCCTCGATGCGGAGACCACCACCTGGATCACTATTTTTGTGAAATATCTGCAATGGTCAAAATTGCATGTGGGGCTACCACAGTCATGGAGGAAACTGTAAGAGTTAAAGAAAGAAGAAAGAAACACGAAACGTGGCTGGCAGTTAAAGACAGGTTTTCCTTAATTAAAACCTGACAGCACTCCTGGCTGATTCCATATATTGGTTTTAGGGTGAGGGGGCTAAGAACATATATTGGTTTTAGGGTGAGGGGGCTTATTACAAGCTTGGAATGTTTATGTGTGTGGAGAAGTTTATGGCGGGGTTGGAATCTCTCTGGGAAGAGGGGAGGTTATCTTGGGGCAGACATCTTTCTGGCCTGGAGGGGGGTTATCTCTGGGCTAGCATCTTCCCAGCTTGAGAGGGCTTATCTAGAGGCTAGCATGACTCTGGTCGGGGAGGAGTTTGGAAGGTTTCTGGTTGGGATGTTATTTGTGGTTTATGGTCGTGCTGACCTTAGCCATTAGGCTGAGGCCCTTTGGATTAGGTGGTTTTTTATTAAAATGAACTATAGAATAAGGGGCTTGTCCAAGATGGTGATGCTCCTGCTCTGTCAGAAACCTTATTTGCATTGTGTTGTTGTTGTTGTTTTCATTTTCCTTGCATCACTTCTTCTCATTCTTGTGTCATATGGCTTCATTGCTATGGCTGTACTCAAGATCAAGTCTGCAGCAGGAAGACAAAAAGCATTTGGGACCTGTTTCTCCCATCTCATTGTGGTATCCATCTTCTATGGGACTGTTAGATATAGGTATATAGAGCCAGGAAACAGTCCATCTCAGGATGAGGGCAAACTTCTCCATATATTTTACTCCATTGTTACTCCCACCTTGAACCCATCCCACTAAGGAATAAGGAGTTCAAGTGGGCCATGAAAAGGCTTATTGGAAAAGAAAAAGGTTCTGGAGACACAATAGGTCACTAACATCTTTTTACAAGAAATTCCTGGCCGGGCACGGTGGCTAACGCCTGTAATCCCAGCACTGTGGGAGGCCGAGGCAGGGGGATCACAAGGTCAGGAGATCGAGACCCTCCTGGCTAACATGGTGAAACCCCATCTCTACTAAAAATACAAAAAATTCGCACCTGAAGTCCCAGCTACTCTGGAGGCTGAGGCAGGAGAATGGCGTGAACCCGGGAGGCGGAGCTTGCAGTGAGCCGCGATCGCTACACTGCACTCCAGCCTAGGCGACAGAGCGAGACTCCGAATCAAAAACAAACAAAAAAAAAAATAAAAAAAGAAATTCCCAATAAAGAAATTATCTTTGTCTAACCTTTAAATTATAGTCAACTTATTTTAGTAGTAGTCATCATCTGAAAAAGAAAATACCTAAAAATTTTGCTTGTATTTTAGTATCAATGTCCCTCATTGTCAAGGGTTCATTCTTTAAAAAATTAAAAATGTCTTTCAAAAACACTACTTATTATCTTGGATGATTCATCTACAGTTGTGGCAACAAAACAGGTTCCGTAAAGTCTAAGGGTTATGTCAACTGGGGTACGGGGGAGCATTTTATAAAGATTAAATTCAGATTATAATTTATATTATTTAATAATTTTAAATATAATTAAACTATTATACTATAACAAAAATTCATTAATTCATGTGTTAACTATGAGTTTTGGCTATAATTCACCATTCATCTGTTCCTATTAAGATTAAAACATTTTTGTTTAGATTCCAAATACTCCTGCCATCTCTACCTATTTTAAGACATATTAGGTTACTGGTCTAAAATATACTTCTATTTGTAGCTATTTGCTGCAGGAATCTGGACTTTCTCAAAATTTTGCTACTAAAATAAAATGTAGGACTAGATTGGATATGGATGTTGATATGGTTACAATGTTAATAAATCATTCTTAGTTTTAAATTTTTGTGTTCATTCAACAACTTCACTAATCTTTTTTATATAAGTTGGTAGTAAGTAAACATTTTGTATTCATTAATTCTTTTTATAAGGCCAGCATAAGCTAGACTTAAAAACATTACAAGGATTTACAAAAAAATAAAAAATGTTTATCAGTATCTTTCATAAACACAGTTGCAAACATCCCTAAATATTAACAAATCAAATATATAAAGGAGGTCCATTAAGAGAGGCAATGTGTGTGTGTGTGTAAGAACTATTCAGAATATAAAAAGAATTTCTACAAATCAGTAAGAAAAAACACAAACAATGTGATAGAACAATCACTTCACAAAAGAGGATAGCCATATGGCCAACACATGAAAATGTGCCCAACTTCACCAATCATCAGGGAAAATTATAACAACAAAGAGATACGGTTAAACACAAATACTGCTCCATAATAACATGGTCTATTAACAAAAAAAGATATGCAGTTTCTTACGATATAGATGAGAACTTTAAGAGTATGTTTGGGGGTGGATGTCAAGGAATATGAAATACAGAGCTTGAATGAACTGAATTTAATGACATGAGTGCTATCACCCAGAGCACAGGATACAAGCATTGGCTCAAACTCCTGAAAGTGTTATTGATCTTCTTTCACATTAGCTCACTGAAGCTTGAACTCAGAGATAGCCTATAGCTAATGAGGTTGAAAAGCTAGAATTTCCACAGTACCTTGTAAAATAAGGAATCAGTAGTCAATAGAGATTTTGTAATCTAATACAGTATGGCCATCTGCCCTCTGTACATAAGACCCTGTGCTATAAGATTGGAAGACATTTTCTTCCCTATAGCATTAAGAAATGGATCAGTGAGGAGGGCATCAGTGGTCTTAAAATGCTCTGTGGCATCTGAATTCTTTGGTGCAGAGCTGATGGTGGGGAATGAAACTGAAATTGGATTATATGGTCTTGAGAAAAATGATAATTCTGGAAAATTAAATGCCAGGAAGTGACACCATCATAGACAAAGTGGAAGTAGTTACTACAAGTAAGTCACATTGACTAGGGTATTGTGACCTACAGGGACCTGTAGTGATACACAGTTTATCAAACGGTACTTAAAAACACAATATTTGGGTAACCTACCACTGTATTGTGAATGTCTGTGTCCCCCAAAACATGTTAAAACCTAATCACCAGTGTGATGGTGTTAGCAGGTAGGCCCTTGGGAGGTGATTAAATCATGAGGGCACAGCCTTCTTGAATGGAATTCATGCCTTTATAGAAGAGGCCTCAGAGAGCTGCTTTGTCTCTTCCACCATGTGAAGACACAGTGAGAAGACACCATCTGTGAACCATAAAGGGGCCTTCACCAGACACCAATCTGCCAGAACCTTAATGTCAGACTTCCTAACTTCTAGAACTATGATAAGTAAATTTTTTTTGTTTATTAGCTACCCAGTTTATGGTATTTTGTTATAGCAACCCAAATGGACTAAGATACCTACTAAGATGTTAGCTGGAGTATATTAGCAGAAAAAATTCTAGGTGTGGAGACAGAAACATAACTTGAAACAATATAATAGGGATTCATGGCTTTTTACCCAGTTTCCATATTAAGCCAGTTTGCAGATTCAGATTTTCTCATCTGAGAGGTAGAATAATCCCTTTATGAATAGATCTGGCAATGAAGCAACATAATATTAAAGCTTTTTCCCTCAAGTCTTGTCTACAGAGACATTCCAGGCACTTAACTAGCTAATCATCCCTGAAGAAGGGGGTTATTAGATATTGTTGCTAGTCCCTGGTGATCTGGTTGCTTTGACGAATTCCTAGTGTCTGAAAATGAAAGACATTGGGTTGAGTTTTAGCTAGTTCACTTTCATTCTGAACAGTTAATTATTTTATTGTGTATTTCCTTGAAGAGAAAAAACTCTAAAAGTAATTTTGCTGTACGAACTACTATGAAATTTATCTGAAACGTTTTAATTGCTTCACATAGCATTGGGAGAAGTTAAAATCTAAAGTAACAGAATCTTTTGGGATAGGAACAAAGTGAGATCATCAATGCCAGTAATTCCATTCACTTCATAATGAGATCCCTTGGGCCCTGCCCTTCCCTCTGGTAAATAACTGCTTATGTGAAAATCTCCCTTGCTCCTCCTTTGACTTTAAACATCAAATATGAGTCTCTTATTCAGAATCCTTGAGAATTTTCCCATTATCCAGAAAGACAGATAGCAAGGACAAACACAACAACTCATCAATTTCTCAGAAAGTAGGAATGAACTGCCTGAAACATGAATAACTACAGATAAAAGCACAATCCAGCGTCAACATTCCCAATGTGTGCTCCATTTTTCCTTTCTCACACCTTTAGAATATAAAAGCCGTAATGCACATGATGCTTCAGAAAAATAAATGTCAAGTTGTATCTTAGTTTTAACTTGGAAGTTGAGGAGAAATGCAGTAAAAATATAGGAAACCAAAGCCCTTGAAAGTAATTTATAGTGAATTGTCTGCTTTCAAGAAGAATAACCAAACATCTGAGAAAAGAAAACTTCTCATCTTTTTATTTGAACTGATACGTTTTTTGTTAGAAGAAAAAATTTATGAGCAAACCATTAGTGAGAAAGTGAGTTTAGCAGTAAATAGCTAGTAGTAGAACTTACACAAACAAATTTAAGCCACAAAGAGTGCATTGATCTAGTAGACTCTAATAGGTTTTGTTTTCTTTTTTAATTTGACTAAGACAAGGATCTAAACCAAAATGCATATTTTTCAAGAATCTTTTTTTATTTTACTTTTTTAAATCACATCTATTTTTAACTCACTAAATTGTTTGACATATTGTAAGAAAATCATTTGGTAATGATTTTAATTTTGTGAGTATAATATTGTGCAGTCAGAAACTGCAGCAGCTGGAAAGTTTTAAGTTGTAGAATCAAAGCACCTCAGACAATGGTAGACACTGTATATGATAAAACACACATCCTTTAATCACATTAATGCTTTGGGAATTATATAAAAAGATATGTCCTTTACTATGTTGTTTGTCAAACCTAAGTAACAGAATCAAAATAAATTGCTTAATTATTTTCAAATTTTAAGTTATTTTGAATAATTCAAATTTTGTTACATATATAAAGAATATATTTATTAGAGTATAAAGTGAAAATTAAATATGTAACTCTTCTAACATGAGGCACATCACCCTCCAAAAACCAATAATGTCGCAGTAAGACAAATTATGCTGCATTATATCATTCAAATGAAATACGATATATTCAATGCTCTACCACTTTTAATTACGAATATAATTTGACCCTGTTTCTATATGAGTATATGCAAACTTGTGTAATTATGTTAAATGTATATAATATTCAGTTAACTAGCTCGTTCTTGATGATCATGTGTGCTGTTTCCAATTTTTTACATGAAAGTAATGTTTCACAAATATTTTAGGATGCATGCAGAATAAACTCCTAGAAATGAAATTAATCAAAGTTAGTTCAAAATATTTTTATGTACATTTTTATTGTGAAAGATAACAGCAAATTGTCTTACAAAAAGAATTTATCCTTCTCCACATAGATTATGAAACTGATCATTTTCTAAACATTTGCAACATGGTTGGTTCCTAACAGTCACTTAAATATAAGCCATTTCAGGACAAAAAAATGCCTCAACTTTTCAATTTCAACTTACTAATTAGAATAGGATTGAAATTATTTTCATATGTGTTTATTTCTTTTTTTCCAAAATGTCTTTTAGGATATTTGCCCATTTTTTGTAGAAACATTTTTAATTTTGGGGAAATAAAAAGTCAAAAGCTATTTTTATTAAGAAAAGCAGTATTTTTCTGCTATGTATATTAATGGTTTCGTTTGGGTCCTATCGAACCACGTGGTTTATCCATCATTGAATTTTCTATTAAAATTTATGATATATCCTTTTTCTCAAATTTTGTTTTGATAATATCTGAAAAATAATAACATGTTCATATTTTGATTTATAAATACTTTTAATCAGTTATGATTTTTAAAGAAATGTTCATAAATTATAATGGCACTTCCATAATGGTGGTGTGGCTCATTGCCCTGTAAAACAACCATGACTGATACAATTTTTTTAATTCCAAGTCTCTGAAAATTGTCTTAAGAGAAAACAACAAATGAAGTAATACTTATTCAAGATACTCTACTAAATCTCACTAAGAAGAGCAAGAGTCTATGGCACTTGAGCCACAGCCTGCTTTCCTACCCAGCTCAGTGTGATGGAAGCTCCACTCTGGACAGGTGTGGCCAAGAAGAAAAGGATTCCTTTCCCCTCAGCTCCCAGTCAAGGAATATAGTATCTCACTGAGAGGGGCAGAATGCCAGCATTTCTTATCACTTTCACTTCTGAGTTGTCAAGGCTACATTCCCAGAGATCTAAACAAAAGACTGGGGCTACCTTCCTGCACTCCATACATAAGGTGGATACCCTATGCCAAGCATGTTGAGCCAAGAATACTGGAACTCTTATCACCTTTGCCCTAGCTCACTCATAAACAGAGGTCCAACACTGGGAGAGGCAAGCAAAGAAAAGTAAAAGCTACCACTCTTCAGTGCACTGCCCTTGGAACAGTGGCATAGAAGGTTTTGTCTAGGGACAGGGGAAGAACAGAACATTCAAAAGCTCTGTCCAAAGAAACTGACTGTATTTGAAGCAGAGTGTTGAAAGTTCAAGCCTAAGGGTACATTAAAAAACAATGAATATTTGGTGCTAAGGAGTTAAGACAAGGCTGAGACTCTATGAGACAACAAGCTAGGCCATAAAACAGTGAGTTTACCAGTGACAACCAGGGAAAGAGCTTTTCTGGGGTCAGAACAAATCTCAAAAAGTGACCTCAAGAACTACCCCTGCAAAATTAGATCACACTGTGGAGCAATTTATGTCCCCAGGGCATTATCAAAACCAATAGAGCACCCAGCCAGCAATTAATGGATCCTCCCAGCTGAGTATAATACCAAATGACGAAGACTGGTTAACAAAAATCAGCAAATGACATTGCAAAGACAAGACATCCAAAGCCCTGCTCAAACTATTCTCATCCCAGGTTGTTTATGTCCATGCCCAAGGCTGTGCTCTCTGAAGGGTAACACCAGAGGCTTCACACTGTGGAGGAAATTTACTAAAATAGCCTGGCCAAGTCACTAACAAACAAAAAATAAAACAAGACCCAGGACGGGGAGTCAGTATACAAAGTTACTACAATGTCTAGTTTTAATTTAGTAACATTATATTACTCAAATGTCTAGTTTTCAACAAAAAAACTATGAGACTTGTAAAAAAATAGGAAAGCATGACTGATACACAAGTAAACGAGCAGACAATAGAAACTGCCAGTGAGAGGCCCCAAATGTCAGATTTATCATAGATCAAAACAACCAATATAAATATGTTCAAGGAAATAAAATCATGCTTAAAGAAGTAAAAGAAGGTATGATAAGAGTGTCTCATCAAATAGAGACTACTAAAAAGGGAGATAAAGTATTTTAAAAATGAAACAAATGGAAACTTTAGAGTTGAAAAGCACAGTGAAAACTTCACTAGAGGAGCTCAACAGTAGATTTGAACTGATGGAAGAAAGAATCAGTGAACTTGAAGATAGGCTGATAGAGATTATGCAATCTGAGCAACAAGAAAAAAATAAAATGAACAGATCCTCAGACAAGTATGGAATACCACTGATGACACCAAAGTACACATAATGGAAGTATCAAAGGAGCAGAGAGAAGCAAGTTAAAAAAATATTCAAAGAATTAATTGCTGAAACATTAAAGTTGATGAAAAAAATTATATATCTAAAAAGCTCCTTTCTCTAAATAGGATTAATGTAAAAATATTCACATTCAGTTGCATCATAATAGGAACACTAAAAGCTAGAGTCAAAGAGACAGTTTTGAAAGCAGCAAGAGGAAAATGACTCATCATGTACAAGAGAACCTCAGTAAGATTATCATCTGACTTCTCATCAGAAATACTGGAGACTAGAAGGCAGTGGGGATGACAGCCAAAGTTCTAAAAGAACGTTGAACCAAGAGTCTTATATCCAGGAAAACTATCCCTCAAAAATGAACCACATTTATTTTTTTTTCTGAGACGAAGTCTCACTCTGTCACCAGGCTGGAGTGCAGTGGCGCAATCTTGGCTCACTGCAACCTCTGCCTCCCAGGTTCAAGTGATTCTCCTGCCTCCGCCTCCAAAGTAGCTGGGACTACAGGTGCGCACCACCACTCCCAGCTAATTTTTTAATTTTTAGTAGTTGGGTTTCATTATGTTGCCCAGGATGGTCTCGATCTCTTGACCTCCTGATCTGCCCGCCTCGGCCTCCCAAAGTGCTGGGATTACAGGCGTGAGCCACCACACCCAGCCAACCACATTTTTTAAATCCAGTCCACCATTGATGGCAATCTAAGTTGATTCCATGTCTTTGCTATTGTGAATAGTGCTACAGTTAACATATACATGCATATGTCTTTATGGCTAAATGATTTATATTCCTTTGGATATATAAGTAATGGGATTGCTGAGTCAAATAGTAGTTATGTTTTAAGTTTTTTGAGAAATCTCCGACTGCTTTTCACAGTGGCTGAACTAATTTACATTCCCACCAGTAGTGTATAAGCATTCCCTTTTCTTTGCTTGTTGATTTAAGTTCTTTATAGATTCTGGATATTAGACTTTTGTCAGATATACTTTGCAAATATTTTCTCCCATCCTATAGGTTGTCTGCATATCCTGTTGATAGTTTCTTTTGCTGTGCAGAAGCTCTTTAGTTTAATTAGGTCATACTTGTGAATTTTTGTTTTGTTGCAATTGCTTTTGGAGTCTTCATTATAAAGTATTTGTCAGGGCCGATGTACAGAATGGCATTTCCTAGGTTTTCTTCTAGGATTTTTACACTTTTAGGTTCTACAGTTTAGTCTTTAACCCATCTTGAGTTGATTTTTGTATATAGTGAAAAGTAGTTGTCCAGCTTCGATATTCTGATTATGGCCGTCCAGTTTTTTCAGCGCCATTTACTGAATACAGAGTCATTCCCCATTGCTTATTATTGTTGGCTTTGTCAAAGATCAGATTACTGTAAGTGTGAGGCTTTATTCCTGGGTTCTCTAACTGATTCCATTGATCTATGAGTCTGTTTTTGTACCAGTACCATGTTGTTTTAATTATGGTAGCCTTGCAGTATAGCTTGAAGTCAGGTAATGTGATGCCTCCAGCTTTGTTTTGTGTGTGTGTGTGTGTGTGTGTGTGTTTGGTTTTGTGTTTTTTGTTTGTTTGTTTTTGCTTAGGGTTGCTTTGACTATTCAGGCTTTTTTGTTGTTGCTGTTTGATATAAATTTTAGAATCATTTTTTTTCTAATTCTGTGAAAAATGTTATTGGTAGATTGCTAGTGTGAACCCAGAAAGTCTGAGACAGGTCTCCATTAATTTAGAAAGTTTATTTTGCCAAGGTTGAGGAAGCACTTGTGACAGCCTCAGGAAGTCCTGATGACATGTGCCCAAGGTGGTCAGGGCACAGCTTGGTTTTACACATTTTAGGGAGACATGAGACATCAATCTATATATGTAAGAAGTACAGTGGTTTGGTCTGGAAAGGTGGGACAACTTGAAGCAAAGGAAAGAAGACTCAAAGCAGAGAGGGAGCTCCCAGGTTACACTAGGTGATACACAAACGATTACATTCTTTTGAGTTTCTGATTAGCCTTTCCAAAGGAGGTAATTAGATATGATTCTCTCTCACTGAGCAGAGGGTTGACTTTGAATAGAATGGGAGGCAGGTTTGCCCTAAGCGGTTTCCAGCTTGAGTTTTCCTTAGTGATTTGGGGGGCTCAAGACATTTTCCTTTCACACTAGTAGTACCATTGAATCTGTAAATTGCTTTGGGCAGTATGCCCATTTAACAATACTGATTCTTCCTATCCATGAGCATGAAAAGCTGTTCCATATGTTTATGTTATCTCTGGTTTTCAGCAGTGTTTTTTAATTCTCATTGCAGAGATCTTTCACTTCCCTGGTTAGCTGTATTCCTAGGTATTTCATTCTTTCTGTGGCTATGGTAAATGGATTGCATTTTTATTTGGCTTTCAGCTTGGATGTTATTGGTGTATATAAATGCTACTAATAGTTGCACATTCATTGTGTATTCTGAAACTTTTCTGAAATCGTTTATCAGATCTAGGAGCCTTTTGGCAGAGAGTGGAGTTTTCTAGGTATATAATCATATCATCTCTGAAGAGAGATCGTTTGACTTTCCCTCTTCCTATTTGGATGACTTTTATTTCTTTCTCTTGCCTGATTTATTTCTCTTGCCTGATTGCTCTGGCTAGGACTTCCAGTACTATTTGGAATAGGAGTAATGAGAGGGGACATCCTTGTCTTGTTCTGGTTCTCAAGGGGAATAATTCCAGCTCTTGCCCATGTAGTATGATGTTGGCTGCAGGTTTGTCATACATAGCTCTCAATATTTTGAGGAATGTTTCTTCAATGTCTGGTGTGTTGAGGGTTTTTAACATGAAGGGATGTTGAATTTCATCAAAAGCCATTTCTGTCTGTTGAGATTATCACATGGTTTTTGCTTTTAGTTCTGTTTATGTAGTGAATCACATTTATTGATGTGTGGGTGATGAACCAACCTCGCATCCCAGAAATAAAGCCTACTTGATTGTGGTGGATTAAGTTTTTGATATGCTGCTGGATCCAGTTTGCTAGCATTTTGCTGAGGATTTTTGCACCCATGTTCATCAAGCATATTGGCCTAAAATTTTTTTTTTGTTGTGCCTCTGCTAGGCTTTGGTATCAGAGTGATGCTGGCCTCATAAGATGAGTTAGGGAGTGTAAGGCCTCTGAGACCAAGCTAAGCCATCATATCCCCTGTGACCTGCACATATACATCCAGATGGCCTGAAGCAACTGAAGAACTACAAAAGAAGTGAAAATAGCCAGTTGCTGCCTTAACTTATGACATTCCACCATTGTGATTTGTTCCTGCCCCACCCTAACTGATCAATTGACCCTGTGACATTCCTTTTCCCGGACAATGAATCTCAGGAGCTCCCCATTGAGCACCTTGCGACTGCTGCACCTGCATGCAAGAGAACAACCCCCTTTAACTATAATTTTCCACTACCTACCCAAATCCTATAAAACTGCCCCACCCCTATCTCCCTTTGCTGACTTCTGTTTTGGACTCATTCTGCCTATGCCCAGGTGATTAAGAAGCTTTATTGCTCACACAAAGCCTGTCTGGTGGTCTCTTCACGTGGACACACATAACATTTGGTGCCGAAGACCTGGGACAGGGGGACTGCTCCAGGAGACTAGCCCCCTGTCCTCACCCTCACTCCGTGAGGAAATCCACCTACAACCTCAGGTCCTCAGACCAGCCCAAGGAACATCTCACCAATTTCAAATCAGGTAAGCAGTCTCTTCACTCTTCTCCAGCTTCTCTCGCTACCCTTCAATCTCCCTGTTCTTCCAATTCCAGTTCTTTTTCCTCTCTAGTGGAAACAAAGGAGACACATTTTATCCGTGAACTCAAAAACTCCGACGTCGGTCACGGATATGGGAAGATGGTCTTCCCTCGGTGTCTGATCATAGCGGGGATGCCTGCCTTGATCATTCATCTACATTCCATTGGTGTCTGATCACCACAGGGATGCCTGCCTTGATCATTCACCCACATTCCATTGGTGTCTGATCACTGCTGGGACGCCAGCCTTGATCATTCAATCATTCACCCACATTCCACTGGTGTCTGATCACCATGAGGATGCCTGCCTTGGTCATTCACCCACATTCCCTTGGTGACAAGTCAGTTGTGGGGACACCTGCTTTGGCTGCTCACCCACATTACAGCCCACGGCTACTCACCCCCACCTTCTCTGTGTCTCTACTTTTCTCTTTAAACTTACCTCCTTCACTATGGGCAACCTTCTGCCCTCCATTCCCCTTTCTTCTCCCTTAGCCTGTGTTCTTAAAAACCTAAAACCCCTTCGACTAACACCTGACCTAAAACCTAAACATCTTATTTTCTTCTGTAATACCACTTGGCCCCAATACACACTCAACAATAGTTTCAAGTGGCCAGAGAATGGCACTTTTGATTTGTCTATCCTACAAGATCTAGATAATTTTTGTTGTAAAATGGGCAAATGGTCTGAGGTGCCTGATGTCCAGGCATTCTTTACACATCGGTCCCTCCCTAGTCTCTGCTCCCATTGCAACTCGTGCCAAATATTTCTTCTTTCTCTCCTATGTGTTCCTTCAGTCTCCACCCCAAGCTCTGAGTCCTTTGAATCCTCTTTTTCTACAGATCCATCTGACCTTGCCCCTCCTCCCCAGGCTGCTCCTCACCAGGCCGAGCCAGGTCCCAATTCTTCCTCAACCTCCACTCTCCCACCCTATAATGCTTCTATCACCTCACCTCTTCACACCCAGTCTGGCTTACAGTTTCTTTCTGTAAGTAGCTCTCCCCGACCTGCCCAACAATTTCATTTTAGAGAGGTGGCCGGAGCTGAAGGCATAGTCAAGATTAATGCTCCTTTTTTCTTTATCTGACCTCTCCCAAATTGGTTAGCGTTTAGGCTCTTTTTCATCAAATATAAAAACCCAGCCCAGTCCGTGGCTGGTTTGGCAACAACCCTTAGATGCTTTACCGCCCTAGACCCAGAGGGACCAGAAGGCCATCTTATTCTCAATATGTATTTTATTACCCAATCCACTCCCAACATTAGAAAAAGCTCCAAAAATTAGATTCCGCCCTCAAACCCCACAACAGGACTTAATTAACCTTGCCTTCAAGGTGTACAATAATAGAGAAGAGGCAGCCAAGCGGCAATGTATTTCTGGATTGCAATTACTTGCCTCCGCTCTGAGAGAAACCCCAGCCACATCTCCAGCACACAAGAACTTCAAAACGCCTAAACCACAGTGGCCAGGCATTCCTCCAGGACCTCCTCCCCCAGGATCTTGCTTCAAGTGCCGGAAATCTGGCCACTGGGCCAAGGAATGCCCGCAGCCCAGGATTCCTCCTAAGCCGTGTCCTATCTGTGCAGGTCCCCACTCGAAATCGGACTGTCCAGCTTGCCCAAAAGCCACTCCCAGAGCCCCTGGAACTCTGCCCCAAGGCTCTCTGACTGACTCCTTCCCAGATCTTCTTGGCTTAGTGGCTGAAGACTGATGCTGCCTGATTGCCTCAGAAGCCTCCTGGACCATCACAGACACTTCAGGTAACTTACAGTGGAGGTAAGTCCCTTCTTAATTGATACGGAGGCTACCCACTCCACATTACCTTCTTTACAAAGGCCTGTTTCCCTTGCCTCCATAACTGTTGTGGGTATTGATGGTCAGGCTTCTAAACCTCTTAAAACTCCCCCACTCTGGTGCCAACTTGGACAACATTCTTTTATACACTCCTTTTTAGTTATCCCCACCTGCCCAGCTCCCTTATTAGGTCAAGACATTTTAACTAAACTATCTGCTTCTCTGACTATTCCTGGGCTACAGCCACACCTCATTGCCACCCTTTTCCCCAGTTCAAAGTCTCCTTCACATCCTCCCCTTATGTCTCCCTACCTTAATCCACACGTATGGGATACCTCTACTCCTACTTTGGCAACCGATCATGCACCCCTTATCATCCCATTAAAACCTAATCACCCTTACCCTGCTCAACGCCAATATCCCATCCCACAGCAGGCTTTAAAAGGGTTAAAGCCTGTTATAACTCACCTGTTACAACATGGCCTCTTAAAGCCTACAAATTCTCCTTACAACTCCCCTATCCTACCCCTCCAGAAACTGGACAAGTCTTACAGGTTGGTTCAGGATCTTCACCTTGTTAATCAAATTGTCCTTCCCATCCATCCTATAGTGCCAAACCTGTACACCCTCCTATCTTCAATACCCCTTTCCACAACTCACTATTCTGTTATCGACCTCAAAGATGCTTTCTTTACTATCCCCTTGCATCCCTCCTCCCAGCCTCTTTTTGCCTTTACTTGGACTGACCCTGACACCCACTAATCCCAACAACTCACCTGGACTGTTCTGCCCCAAGGCTTCAGGGACAGCCCACACTACTTTGGCCAGGCCCCTTCTCATGATCTGCTTTCTTCTTCCCCATCTGCCTCTCACCTTATTCAATATTTTGATGATCTCCTTTGCAGCCCCTCTTACTAATCTTCCCAGCAGGACACTATCCTGCTTCTTCAACATCTCTACTGAAAGGGGTACCAAGTATCCCCCTCCAAGGCACAAATTTCTTCTCCTAGTGTTACCTATCTCAGTATAATCCTCCATCAACATACATGTGCCCTTCCTGCAGACCGTATTCAGTTAATCTCCCAGACCCCAATCCCCACCACCAAACAACTCCTTTCCTTCTTAGGCATTGTTGGATATTTCCAACTCTGGATACCAGGCTTTGCTATTCTAACCAAAACCACTTTACAAGCTCACAAAGGATAACTTAACTAATCCCATAGATCCTAAGTCTTTTCCCCATTCTTCCTTTCACTTTCTCAAAAAGGTCCTGGAGACAGCTCCTACACTTGCACTCCCCAACTCGTCCCATCCCTTTTCCTTACACACAGCGGAAATACAAGTCTGTGCTGCCGGAGTCCTCACACAGGAGCCAGGCTCACAACCTGTTGCCTTTCTATCAAAGAAACTTGACCTCACAGTTCTGGGCTGGCTCTGCATGGGGCGGCAGGCACTGCTTTAATACTTCTAGAGGCCTTCAAAATCACAGGCTATGCTCCACTTACCCTTTACAGTTCTCACAACCTTCAAGCATTAATATCCTCCCCATACCTTTCACATTTATTGTCTGCCCCTCAACTCCTCCAGCTCTATTCACTCTTTGTTAAAACTCCAACAGTAACTATTATCCATAGGCCTGATTTCAACCCACTTTCTCACTTAGCACCCAGCACAAGTCCTGAACCACCTGACTGTATTTCCCTAATAAACATAGCATCCTCCCCCGTCCTCATATTCCTATTCTGCCAATTCCAAACACAGACCACACTTGGTTTATTGATGGCAGTTCTTCTAAACCCAATCAATTTTCACCAGCTAAAGCTAGATATGTTGTCGTGTCCCACACCGCTACTATTGAAGCTGCTGCACTTCCCTCCACCACTTCCGAATAAGCTGAACTGATTGCTTTAACTACCGCATTCTCTCACTAAAGGAATGCACATTGACATTTATACTGACTCCAGATATGCTTTCTATATCCTCCATAACCATGCTGCCTTCTGGGCTGAAAGAGGCTTCCTTACCACACAAGGCTCTTCCATTATCAATGCCTCCCTAACAAAGGCCCTCCTTAAGGTTGCTTTCCTGCCAGCCAAGGCTGGAGTCATTCATTATAAAGGGCACCAGAAACCTACTGATCTTATTGCAAAAGGAAATGCCTATGCCAACAGGACGGCAAAAGAAATAGCTGATGCCTCCACATCCACTAATATTCCAGCCCTCACTCCAGAGGTCCAGTATTTCTCCTTCTCCTCCAACACTCCCACCTACTTTTCTGAAAACCTGCTCTACCAGTCTTTTCCAACTCAAGGCAAGTGGTTCTTATAAATCATGGAAAATTCATTCTTCCTGCCTCACAAGCTCAGTCCATTCTTTCTTCCCTTCATGACCACTTCCATGTGGGATACAAGCCTGTGGCTTGATTCCTGCAGCTCCTCATCTCCTTCTCTTCATGGAAGTCCATCCTTAAGACCATAACCTCTCAATCCTCTGTCTGCCATGCCACCAGCCCCCAAGGCTTTCTCAGGCCTCCTCCTTTTCCTGAGCATCAGGCTTGTGGATTTACTTCAACTCATGATTGGCAGTTAGACTTTACTCATATGCCCCATGTCCGTAAATTTAAGTATCTCCTGGTTTGGATCGACACCTTCACCGGATGGCTCGAGGACTTTCCCACTAGTTCCAAAAAGCCTATTGCAGTCATTTCTTCCCTTCTAACAGATATAATTCCCTGATTTGGCCTCCCTACTTCTATTCAATCTGACAATGGTCCAGCTTTTATTAGTCAAATCACCCAAGCTGTCTCTCAGGTTCTTGGTATTCAGTGGAAACTTCATACCCCTTACTGTCCTCAATCTTCAGGAAAGGTAAAATGGACTAATGCTCTTTAAAAAACACACCTCACCAAGCTCAGCCTCTAACTTAAAAAGGACTGGACAGTACTTCTACCACTTGCCTTTCTCAGAATTAGAGCCTGCCCTCGAGATGCTACAGGGTACAGTCCATTTGAACTTTTATATAGACACACTTTCTTGCTCAGCCCCAATCTTATTCCAGACACCAGCCCTCTGGGCAACTATCTTCCAGTCCTCCAGCAGGCTAGACAGGAAATTCGCCAGGCTGCTAATCTTCTCTTGCCTACTCCAGATTCCCAGCCATATGAAGACACCCTAGCTGGATGATCGGTTCTTGTTAAGAGTCTGACCCCTCAAACTCTACAGCCTCGATGGAACGGACCCTACCTAGTCATCTATAGCACCCCAACTTCCGTCCATCTACAGGAATCTCCCCATTGAGTTCACCATTACAGAATAAAGCTGTGTCCATTGGACAGCCAGCCAGATCTCTCCTCTTCCTCCTGGAAGTTGCGAGTACTCTCCCCTACTTCCCTTAAAACTCATTCGCATTTCTAAAGAACAGTAATAACCCTTATAAGCCTAACACATCCTTTCATTTTTATTAGGTCTGTTCTTCCTTGCCTTACTCTCTACAACAGGGTTTTATGCAGTCACACCCGCCCCCACTTCTTGGACTGCAACTCACAAGCTTTTTCATCCCTGCTATTTTCCAATTCACCATTCTCACCTACTCATAAATGCCCTGCTCTTGTTTACACTGCCAGTTTCCACTTTTCCTCCAAACCATCACAGCTGATATCTCATGGTGCTATCCCCAAACTGCCACTCTCGACTCCCTCTTGGAGTGGATAGATGATCTTTGCTGGCAGGGCACACTCCAATATTTTCTGCCTCCACTATTGCTCTTGGAACTGGAATAGCAGGCAATTCAACCTCTGCCACAACCTTCTGTAGCCTCTCTAATGACTTCTCTGCTAGCATTGCAGACATATCACAATCTTTATCAGTCCTTCAGGCGCAGGTTGACTCTTCAGTTGCGGTTGTCCTCCAAAACCATGAGGCCTTGACTTACTCACTGCTGAAAAAGGGAGACTCTATATTTTTAAATGAAGAGTATTGTTTTTACCTAAATCAATCTGGCCTGGTATACGACAACCTAAAAAAACTCACGGATAGAGCCCAAAAACTCACCAACCAAGCAAATAATTACACTGAACCCCCTTGGGCACTCACTCTCTAATTGGATGTCCTGGGTCCTCCAAATTCTTAGCCCTTTAATACCTGTTTTTCTCCTTCTCTTATTCAGACCTAGTGTCTTCCATTTAGTTTCTCAGTTCATACAAAACTGCATCCAGGCCATCACCAATCATTCTATACAACAAATGCTCCTTCCAACAACCCCACGATATCACCCCTTACCACAAAATGTTTCTTCAATTTAATCTCTCCCACTCTAGGTTCCCATGCCACCCCTAATCCTGCCTGAAGCAGCCCTGAGAAACATTGCCCATTATCTCTCCATACCACCCCCCCCAAAATTTTTGCTGCCCCCAACACATCACCACTATTTTGTTTTGTTTTTCTTATTAATATAAGAAGACAGTAATGTCAGGCCTCTGAGCCCAAGCTAAGCCATCATATCCCCTGTGACCTGCACATATACATCCAGATGGCCTGAAGCAACTGAAGAACCATAAAAGAAGTGAAAATAGCCAGTTCCTGCCTTAATTGATGACATTCCACCACTGTGATTTGTTCCAGTCCCACCCTAACTGAGCATTGACCTTGTGACACTCCTTCTCCTGGACAGTGAATCTCAGGAGCTCCCCACTGAGCACCTTGTGACCCCTGCCCCTGCCTGCAAGAGAACAACCCCCTTTAACAGTAATTTTCCACTACCTACACAAATCCTAGAAAACTGCCCCACCCCATCTCCCTTTGCTGACTCCTTTTTCGGATTCAGTCTGCCTGCACCCAGGTGATTAAAAGCTTTATTGCTCACACAAAGCCTGTTTGGTGGTCTCTTCACATGGACATGTATAACATGGAGGAGTAACTTCTCCTCTATTTTTTGGAATAGTTTCAGTAGAATTGGTACCAGCACTTCTTTATATGTCTAGTGGAATTCAGCTGTGAATTTGCCTGGTACAGGGCTTTTTCTGATTTGTAAGTTTTTAAATTACTGATTCAATTTCAGAACTCATTATTGGTCTGTTCAGGGTTTTACTTTCTTCTTGGTTGAATCTTGAAAGGTAGTGTGTTTCTAGGAATTCAGCCATTTCTTTTAGGTTTTCTAGTTTTTGTGCATAGAGGTGCTCGAAATAGTCTCTGATGGATTTTTGGGGTCAGTGATATTTCTTTAAAATGTACTGCTACCATTGATTGTCATAACCAGTTTGTAGGATTCATGTTTTCCATTTATTCTTATCTCAAAAGTAGGGTAAACTGATCTCTGAATACACAGATGATAAAAGAGTAATCATAAAACTAAACTATTAATGTGTCCAATAATAATTATGGTAACAGAGATAACGTAACTTTGAAAGCAACTCATGTTCAAGTCAGAAGTGAAAATAAATACATTTTTACATGAACCAGTAAAACATTAAACATAATATTTAGTGGGGGAAAAAAGAAATATAGCATTTATTTGTGTCGGGAACATGCTAAGTCTTTCTTCTAGCTATTTTGAAATAAACAATAAATTATTGTTATCATAGAGATTTATCAAAATATCACAAGCACCTCAGAAACATGTACAATAGTTGTGTATCAATTTCTTAATTAACAATAAAAACTGAAAAATATTTAATTGACAAAGAAATTACTAAAAAGCATTATTCACATCATAATCACTTTTTCAATTAACTATTTTCTCATTCAGCTACATATTATATTAACAGTACAGCTGTGATCATGTGAGCACATGAGAAATGTGTATCATTTTTATTAAGAATTAACAAATTCGAGACTTAAACATTCGTGACTGCCAGCTCTGAGGAGAGCAGTGGATCACCCAGCACAGTGCCCGAGCTCTGCTAAGGAACAGACTGCCTCCTCAAGTGGGTCGCTGACCCCCATGCCTCCTGACTGAAAAACACCTCCCAGCAGGGATCGACAGACACCTCATACAGGAGAGCTCCAGCTGGCATCCAGCAGGTGCCCCTCCTAAACAAAGCTTCCAGAGGAAGGAACAGGCAGCAATCTGTGCTGTCCGGCAACCTCTGCTGGTGATACCCAGGTGAACAGGGTCTGGAGTGGACCTCCAGCAAACTCCAGGAGACCTGCAGCAGAGAGGCCTGATGGTTAGAAGAAATACTAACAAACAGAAAGGAATAGTATCAACATCAAGAGAAAAATGTCTACTCAGGATCCCATCTGAAGGTCACCAACATCAAAAGCCAAAGGTATATAAATCCATGAAGATGAGAAAAAAAAAACAGCACAAAAAGGCTGAAAATACCAAAAATCAGAGCACCTCTTCTACTCCAAAGATCACAAATCCTCACCAGCAAGGGAACAAAACTGGATCGAGAATGAATTTGACAAATTGACAGAAGTAGGCTTCAGAAGGTGGGTAATAACAAACTCCTCTGAGCTAAAAGAGCATGTTCTAACCCAATGCAAGGAAGCTAAAAACCTTGAAAAATGTTTAGAGGAATTGCTAACTAGAATACCAATTTAGAGAAGAATATAAATAACCTGATGGAGCTGAAAAACACACCACGAGAACTTCGTAAAGAATACACAAGTATCAATAGCTGAATCAATCAAGTGGAAGAAAGTATACAAGAGATGGAAGATCAAATTAATGAAATAAAGCATGAAGCCAAGATTAGAGAAAAGAGAATGAAAAGGAATGAACAAAGCATCCAAGAAATATGGGACTATGTGAAAAGACCAAACCTACATTTGATTGGTATACCTGAAAGTGACTAGAAGAATGGAACCAAGTTGGAAAACACTCTTCAGGATATTATCCAGGAGACCTTCCCCAGCCTAGCAAGACAGGCCAACATTCAAATTCAGGAGATAGAGAGAACACCACAAAGATACTCCTCAAGAAGAGCAACCCAAAAACATGTAATTGTCAGATTCACCAAGGTTGAAATGAAGGAAAAAATATTAAGGGCAGCCAGAGAGAAAGGTCAGAATACCAACAAAAAGAAGCCTCTCAGACTAACAGCAGATCTCTCTGCAGAAACCCTACAAGCCAGAAGAAAGTGGGGGCCAATATTCAACATTCTAAAAGAAAAGAATTCTCAACCCAGAATTCTATACCCAGCCAAACTAAGCTTCATAAGCAAAGGAGAAATAAAACTCTTTACAGACAGCAAATAATGAGAGATTTTGTCACCCCCAGGCCTACCTTACAAGAGCTTCTAAAGGAAGCAATAAGTGGGGAAAGGAAAAGCCGGTACCAGCCACTGCAAAAACATACCATATTGTAAAGATGATCGACATTATGAAAAAAGTGCATTAACTAATGGGCAAAATAACCAGTTAGCATCATAATGACAGGATAAAATTCACACATAACAATACTAACCTTAAATGTAAATGAGCTAAATGCCCCAATTAAGAGACACAGACTGGCCAACTGGAAAAAGAGTCAAGACCCATCAGTGTGCTGTATTCAGGAGACCCATCTCATGTGCAAAGACACACATAGGCTCAAAGTAAAGGAATGGAGGAACATCTAACAAGCAAATGCAAAGCAAAAGACTTCAAGGGTTGCAATCCCAGTCTCTGATAAAACAGACTTTAAACCAACAAAGATCAAAGAAGACAAAGAAGGGCAATACATAATGGTAAAGGGATCAATGCAACTATCCTAAATATATATGCACCCAATACAAGAATACCCAAATTCATAAAGCAAGTTCTTAGAGACCTACAAAGAGACTTAGACTCCCATACAATAATAGTGGGAGACTTTAACACCCCACTGTTAATATTAGACAGATCAATTAGACAGAAGATTAACAAGAATATTAAGGACTTGAACTCAGCTCTGGACCAAGTGGACCTAATAGACATCTATAGAACTCTCCACCCCAAATCAACAGAACATACATTATTCTCAGCACCACATAGCACTTATTCTAAAATTGACCACATAATTGGAAGTAAAACTCTCCTCAGAAAATGCAAAAGAATGGGAATCATAACAAACAGTCTCTCAGACCACAGTTTAATCAAATTCGAACTCAGGATTAAGAAACTCACTCAAAACTGTAAAACTATATGGAAACTGAACAATGTGCTCCTGAATGACTACTGGGTAAATAACAAAATTATGGCAGAAATAAATAGATTCTTTGAAACCAATGAGAACAAAGACACAACATACCAGAATCTCTGGGACACAGCTAAAGCAGTGTTTACAGGGAAATTTATAGCACTACATGCCCACAGGAGGAAGGGGGAGAGATCTAAAATCAACGCCCTACCATCACAATTAAAAGAACCAGAGAAGCAAGAGTAAACAAAGTCAAAAGCTAGCAGAAGATAAGAAATAACTAAGAACAGAGCAGAACTGAAGGAGATAGAGACATGAAAAATCCTTCAAAAATCAATGAATCCAGGAGTCGGTTTCTTGAAAAGATTAACAAAATAGATAAACTACTAGCCAGACTAATAAAGAAGAAAAGAGAGAAGAATCAAATAGACAGAATAAAAAATGATAAAGGAGATATTACCACTGATCCCACAGAAATACAAATTACCACCAGAGAATACTGTAAACACCTCTATGCAAATAAATTAGAAAATCTAGAAGAAAGGGATAAATTCCTGGACACATACATCCTCCCAAGACTAAACTAAGAAGAAATCCAGTTCCTGAATAGACCAATAACAAGTTCTGAAATTGAGGCAGTAATTAATAGCCTACCAACAAAAAAAGCCTAGGACCAGATGGATAAACAGCCGAATTGTACCAGAGGCACAAAGAAGAGCTGCTATCATTCCTTCTGAAACTATTCTAAACAATAGAAAAAGAGGGACTCTTCCCTAACTCATTTTATGAGGCCAGCATCATTCTGATACCAAAGCCTGGCAGAGACACAATGAAAAAAGAAAATTTCAGGCCAATATCCATTATGAACATTGATGCAAAAATCCTCAATAAAATACTGGCAAACCAAATCAAGCAGTACATCAAAAAGCTTATTCACCATGATCAAGTCAGCTTCATCCCTGAGATGCAAGGGTGGTTCAACATACACAAATCAATAAACATAATCCATCACATAAACAGAACCAATGATAAAAACCCCATGATTATTTCAATAGCTGCAGAAAAGGCTTTTGATAAAATTCAACAACCCTTGATTCTAAAAACACTCAATAAACTAGGTATTGATGGAACATATCTAAAAATAGTAAGAGGTATTTATGACAAACCCACAGCTAATATCATACCGAATGGGCAAAAGCTGGAAGCATTCCCTTTGAAAACCAGCACGAGACAAGGATGCCCTCTCTCACAACTCCTATTCAACACAGTATTGGAAGTTCTGGCCAGGGCAATCAGGCAAGAGAAAGAAATAAAGCATATTCAATTAGGAGGAGAGGAAGTCAAATTGTATCTGTTTGCAGATAACATGATTGTATATTTAGGAAACCCCATCACCTCAGCCCAAAATCTCCTTAAGCTGATAAGCAACTTCAGCAAAGTCTTAGGATACATAATCAATGTGCAAAAATCACAGGCATTTCTATACACCAATAATAGACAAACAGAAAGCCAAATCATGAATGAGCTCCCATTCACAATTGCTACAAAGAGAATAAAATACCTAGGAATACAACTTACAAGGGATGTGAAGGACCTCTTCAAGGACAACTACAAACCACTTCTCAAGGAAATAACAGAGGACATAAACAAATGGAAAATCATTCCATGATCATGGATAGAAAGAATCAATATAGTGAAAAAGGCCATACTGCCCAAAGTAATTTATAGATTCAATGCTATCCCCATCAAGCTACCACTGACTTTCTTCACAGAATTAGAAAAAACTACTTTAAATTTCATATGGAACCAAAAAAGAGCCCATCCCGTATTGCCAAGACAATCCTAAGCAAAAAGAACAAAGCTAGAGGCATCACACTACCTGACTTCAAACTATACTAAAAGGGTACAGTAACCAAAACAGCATGGTACTGGTACCAAAACAGATATATAGACCAATGGAACAAAATAGAGGCCTCAGAAATAATGCCACATGTCTACTACCATCTGATCTTTGACAAACCTGACAAAAAACAAGCAATGGGGAAAGGATTCCCTATTTAATAAATGGTATTGAAAAAACTGGCTGGCCATATGCAAAAAGCTGAAACTGGACCCCTTCTTTACACCTTATACAAAAACTAACTCAAGATGAATTAAAGACTTAAATGTAAGACCTAAAAACATAAAAACCCTAGAAGAAAACCTAGGCAATACCATTCAGGATGGGCAAAGACTTCATGACTAAAACACCAAAGCAATGGCAACAAAAGCCAAAATAGACAAATCAGATCTAATTAAAGTAAAGAACTTCTGCACAGCAAAAGAAACTAACAACAGAGTGAAAAGGTAACCTACAGAATGGGAGACAATTTTTGCAATCTATCCATCTGACAAAGGGCCAATATCCAGAATCTACAAGGAACTTAAACAAATTTACAAGAAGAAAACAAACAACCCCATCAAAAAGTGGGTGAAGCAAATGAATCGACACTTCTCCAAAGAAGACATATATGTGGCCAACAAACATGAAAAAAAGCTCATCATCACTGGTCATTAGAGAAATGCAAATCAAAACCACAGTGAGGTACCACCTCATGCCAGTTAGAATGGCGATCATTAAAAAGTTAGGAAACTACAGATACTGGAGAGGATATGGAGAAATAGGAATGCTTTTATACTGTTCTTGGGAGTGAAAATTAGTTCAACCATTGTAGAAGACAGTGCAGCAATTCCTCAAGGATCTAGAACCAGCAATACCATTTGACCCAGCATTCCCATTACTGGGTATATACCCAAAGGATTATAAATCATTCTAATATAAAGACACAAGCACACGTATGTTTATTGCAGCACTGTTTACAATAGCAAAGACTTGGAACCAACCCAAATGCCCATCAATGATAGTCTGGATAAAGAAAATGTGGCACATATAACCCATGGAATATTATGCAGCCATAAAAAAAAGGATGAGTTCATGTCCTTTGCAGGGACATGGATGAAGCTGGAAATCATCGTTCACAGCAAACTAACACAGGAACAGAAAACCAAACACTGCATGTCCTCACTCATAACTGGGAGTTGAAAAATAAAAACATATGGACACAGGGAGGGGAGCATCACACACTGTGGTCTTTTAGGGGGTGGGGGGCCAGGGGAGGGATAGCATTAGGAGAAATACCTAATGTAGATGACAGGTTGATGGGTGCATCAATCACCATGGCACGTGTATACCTATGTAACAAACCTCCACGTCTACACATGTATCTCAGAACTTAAAATATATAATATATAATATATATGTATAAAGTATATATATAAAGTATATATATATAAAGTATATATAAAGTATATATACATATATAAAGTATATATAAAGTATATACATATATAAAGTATATACATATATAAAGTATATATATATAAAGTGTGTATATACACACACACACACATATATATAGGAATTGCTCCTAACCAGAGTAATCAGGCAAGAGAAAGAAAAAAATGGCATGTAAATAGGAAGAAAGAAAGGCAAACTATCTGTTTGCAGACCACATGATACTATATCTAGAAAACCCCATTGCCTCAGCATAAAAGCTCCTTCAGCTGATACACAACTTCAGCAAAGTTTCAGAATACAAATCCATATACAAAAATCACTAGCATTACTATACACCAACAGCCAAGCCAAGAGCCAAATTAGAAAGGCAATCCTTTTCTAATTTGGGAATTACAATTGCCACAGAAAGGATAGAATACTTAGGGGTACAGCTAACCAGGTAGGTGAAAGATCTCTACAATGAGAATTACAAAGAAATCAGATCCGTGCTTAAAGAAATCAGAGAAGACACAAACAAATGGAATAACATCCCATGCTCGTGGATAGGAAGAATCAATATTATTAAAATGGCCATACTGCCCAAAGCAATTTACATATTCAATGATATTCCTATCAAAATACCAACAACATTCTTTGCAGAACTAGGAAAATCTATTTTAAATTTCATATGGAACCAAAACAAAGCCCGAATAGCAAAGGCAATCCAAAGCAAAAAGAACAAAGCTAGAGGCATCACCCAACTTTAAACTACACTACAGAACTATGGTAACCAAACAGCATTGTACTGGTACAAAAACAGGTACATAGACCAATGGAACAGAATAGAGAGCCCAGAAATAAGAATGCACACCTATGACCAGTTGATCTTCAACAAAACTGACAAAAACAAAGGGGAAAAGACTCCCTATTCCATCAAACATGCTGGGATAACTAGCTAATATCCAGCTTCTATGAGGAACTTAAACAAATTTATGAGAGAAAAACAAACAACCCCATTAAAAAGTGGGCAAAGGACATGAACAGACACTTTTCCAAAGAACACATACATGTGGCCAGTAAGCATATGAAAAAAAAAAAAGCTCAATATCACTGGTCATCAGAGAAATGCAAATCAAATCCAGAATGAGATACCATCTCACACCAGTCAGAATGGCTATTATTAAAACGTAAAAAAATAACAGATGCTGGCAAGGTTGCAGAGAAAAGGGAACACTTATACGCTGTTGATGGGAGTATAAATTGGTTAAGCCAATGTGGAAACAGTATGGCTATTCCTCAAAGAGCTAAAAGCAAAACTACCATTCAACCCAGCAATCCCATTACTGGGTATACACCCAGAAGAATAGAAATCATTTTACTGTAAAGACACATGTGGCCAGGTGCAGCGGCTCTCAGCTATAATCCAAGCACTTTGAGACCAGCGTGGGCAACATGGCCAAACCGCATTTCTACCAAAAATACAAAAATTAGCCGGGTGTGGTGGTGCATGCCTGTGGTCCCAGCTACCAGGGAAGCTGAGATGGGAGGATCACCCGAGACTGGGGAGGTCAAGACTGCAGTGAGCCATGATTGTGCCACTGCGCCGCAGCCTGGGCGAGAGAGTGACATCCTGTCTCAAAAAAAAAAAAAAAAGGATACAGCACATGTGCAGGTAAATGTTCATCACAGCACTATCCAGAAAAGCAAGACATGGAATCAACCTAAATGCCTACCAATGACAAATTAGATTTTAAAAATGTGGTATATACAGCTATAAAAAAAAGATCATGTATTTTGTGGGAGCATGGATGGAGCTAGAGGCCATTATCCTTAGCTAACTAATGCAGGAACAAATAAATAAATACCACATGTTCTCACTTATAAGTGGGAGCTAAATTATGAGAACTCATAAACACAAAGAAGGAAAAAACAGAAACAGATTTTCTTGAGGGTGGAAGGTGGGAGAAGGGGTAGGAGGGGAAAAAGATAACTATTGGATACTGAGCATAATACATGGGTGATGAAATAATCTGTACAACAAACCCCTGTGACACAGTTTCCCTTCTGTAACAAACCTTCACACGTACCCCTGAACCTAAAATAAAGTTTTTATTAGAAAAAAAAAAGTCGAAGTCAGCAGAAATGCTTGGGTTTAAGATAGGGGGAGTTGTGGAAGCCAAGGTTCTTGTTATGTAAATAAAGTCTTCAGGTGGCAGGCTTCAGAAAAAATTAAGTAGTAAATGTCTCTTATGAGATCTTAAAAAGTGTCAGACTATTAGTTAAATCTCTCCTGGATCTGGAAAAGACCTGGAAAGGGTAGCGAATTCTATACAGAATGTAGATTTTCCCCACAAGAAACAATAATATAGGTGTTATAAACAAATTATTTAGGCAGATAGTGAGGGTAAGGAAATCCTTCCTGGGTAAGGTTTTCCTTTTAATAAAAAGCAGCCCCCAAATCATTTTTTCTAACAAAGAGCAGCCTGTATAGAATCTAGCTGCAGACATAGACAAGCAAACAGGAAGTTTGCATTGATCAATGCTGGCAGTTGTGCTAATAGAAAAAGGCTACCTGGGATTAAGCATGATCAAAATGGTGGCTCCATCTTCCCTTCTCTTTGTCAGCCACGTGTAGAATAAGGAGCAGACAAGATGGTGCTGGCCATAAGATTAAGGTGGGTCAACCAGACTTCCCTGCGGGCTATGTAAATGTCACACCTGGTAGAACCAATCTGTGACCCTGTGTAAATCAGACACCGGCTCCTCCTCAAGCTTGCCTATAAAATCTGCTGTGGTCTGCCGCAAGCCAGTTGTTTCCCTTTCAAAAACCTCTTTCTCACGAGGGAGAGAGAGAGAGAGAGCTGCTTGCCTCTCTCCTTTCTTCTGCCTGTTAAACTCTCTGCTCCTTAACACACCCACATGTGTCCGTGTCCTTAATCTTCTTAGTGCAAGACGATGAACCCTGGGTATTTACCCCAGACAACGATGCCACTTCAACAGCTTTTCAAAGGCATTCCAAAAGGTGTCAAAGAAATCTATTTTGGGGTAAAATACTTTGATTTCTTTCAGGACTGGCTATCTATCATGTGATGCTATACTAGAGTCAGGTTGCAATTTGGTATGTTATTGCTATAAGGAATCTGTTTTGTCAGTCTTAATTAAGATCTCTGTTTTAAAGTTAATAATGCTGGTAAGTTATGCCTGAATTCCAAAGGGAGGAGAGTATGTCCCTGCAAAGCTGCTTCTGGTGGGGGAAATTTACATTCTGTAGCGAATCGCCTTTGCTTTCCAGGTCTTTTTCTGATCCTGAAGAGTTTAGTTGAGAGTCCAGTATCTTTTAAAGGTCTGAATACAAAATATTTCCCATCTATTGCTTGTAAGGGTGACCACTTATGAGACTTCATCTACATAATAAGAACCTTGTTCTCTACAATCCCTTATTTTAATCCAGACACTCCTTTCTATTGATTCTAGGCATTTAAATAGTAACAAGTTTTTCAACCAATTGCCAATAAGAAAATCTTTGAATTTACCTTTGATGTGGAAGGCCCCACTTTGAGTTGTTCCACCTTTCATGACTGAACCAACACAGACCCCACATGTATTGACTGATTTTTTACATGCTCCTAAAATGTAAATCAAGTTGTAATTCAATCACCTTGGGCACTTGTTCTCAGGATGTCTTGAGACTGCGCCTCAGGCCGTCAATTACTCACATTTGGCTCAGAATAAAACTCTTTAAATATTTCATGGAGTTTGACTCTTTTTTGTTGACAATTTTTTCTTCAAGAGTGTCTCAGAATTAATGATACTTGATATTCTATATACAACTTGGTATTCTATATACATTTTAGAATAATCTTAGAAAATTTTACAAATAGTCTGAATTTTGATTGAGTTAGCACTGAATATAGAGATCAAAGATATAATTAATATCTATACAATTTTGAATCATCTATGAATAGTTGTAATCACTTTGAATTTTCTACATACATAATCATATATATAATAATGAAATTTTATTTCTTCTACTGCAATCTTGCTTGTTCCTTGTCTTATCCTATTATACTGGCTAAAGTCTCTACAACAAAGTAGTTTGAATGGAAATGGAAATAGAAGGTGTCCTTGTCTTTTCCTCAATTTCAAAGAGAAAATTTTCAACATATTCATAATGCTTGCTGAAAGGGTTTTCGGATCCTGTTTAACAGATTAGGATCTATCATTCTTTTCATAGCTTACTAAGTCATTTTTATTATTTTTATATATTTTGAGACTTATCAAATACTTGATTTTTTATCTGATGATATGATTATAAAATGTTGTTTCTTTATTGTGTTATTTTGCTAACACAATGAAAAAATGAATTTCATTTTTTTCTGGAATAAATTTACTTTCAGCAGTGTGTAGAATATTTTAAATAATTGAATTAATTGGTAATATTTTCAAATCTATGTTAATTCATGGGACTATCATGCAATTTTAAAATTTTGTTTTGTTGCCAAAGTTATACTTGACTAAAATAGTATTTGAAACTTGCCTTCTATTTTTTAAACCTCTGGCATATATAAAAATTTCCTACAAATGAATTTGGAAAAAGTCAAGGACTTGAATGGATACTACACAAAAGATTTCTCAATGACTATAAATATAAGAGAAACTGGTCAACTTCATTAGTTAGTAGGTGAGTACAAATTAAAATCATAATGATATATTCATGATATATCACCAGAATGGCTAAAATTAAGAGGACAGAAAACACTGTTAGTATAGATTTGGAGCAACTGTAATTCTCACCATACTGTGGAGTTTAAGTTTGTGCAACCAACTTCCAGAATTGGTGGTATCTACCAAAGCTGAATATATGCATACCTCAAACCTAAGCAATTTCTCCACAGTATCGTCCCTGCCAAAATGCTTACATTTCTTACCAAACACATATACTAAAGTGACTGCAGCAGCAATATTCACAAAAGACAAAAATCATAAGCACCCAAATGTCTAGCCTATCAGTACTACAAAGGATAAAATAGTTGTGGCATATTTATACAATGAAATACAATGCAGTAAAAATATAGTGCTGTATTGGTATACGCAACCACATAAATGAATCTCCCAAAGATAACATTGAATAAATATAAGCAGAAACAAAAGAAATAATGCTGTATGATTTTGTTTATATATAGTTCAAAAAAATCATAATAATGGTTACAAGGGGCAGGTATAAGTAGCATAAGGAAATGAAATTGAGAGTCATTCTAGAATGTTTCTTACATTGTTTTCTTGATCAAAATTTGTTCACTTTGTAATAATTAAGTTGCACCTTCATGAACTATTTTATATAAACTTTTTTTTTTTTGCCTTCAGCAAACATTTTTTTTTCTTTTTTTCTTTTTTTTATTATACTTTAAGTTCTAGGGTGCATGTGCACATTGTGCAGGTTAGTTACATATGTATACATGTGCCATGCTGGTGCGCTGCACCCACTAACTAAACTATTTTTTTAAATGAAAGCTTTCATAAAAATCTAGATTCCATTGAGAATTCAGAATATTTTGCAATCCTGGGGCTCAATGCATAGAAAATTGGTCAACTAGCGCTCAGCAGTTGTTGTTTTCTTCAGATGTGGCATGTGCAGCAAAATGTTCACCACTCTTTTATTACTGCATATAGACCTCAGCTAAATGTTTGTTGACACTTATCATTGCATTTCTACAATTGTTTTTCTTATACCTTATCCACTCAGTCATTCATATCACCTGCTTGTACTTGAATATGCATTAGATTTTTCTTGGACCCTAAAATATTTATAGAATTTGCCTTAAACAAATAGAGGTTCACTTCCTCTATTGAGACCTGAAAAAAAATCATAAAGGAAGAGTATGAATGTATATACATTTATAGGTGACAGACAGGAAGTTAATGGAATTTCCCCCTGGGCCCTCTGTTTTGTCTTGGAAGTCAGGGCAAGATAACCTGCTTGGAGAGCTGTGGGACACTGGATTGGAGGATTTAAGAATTTGTTGAACATTTGCTATGGTGATGCAAGAGACAAACAGGATACACACAGAATGACCTCTGGACAGAAGAGAGCCCATTGGAAGTTGAGAAAGACCAGGGGTGTTTAAGGGCGCCGTTCAAAACATTTATATATTTATCTCCAGCAACAGTCAAGTGCCTATTAGATATGAGGGAAAAGGCCCTGTTGGAAGGCTGCAGGCCTGCCGTTTTTGTCTCAGTAGAGGTGAGGTAAAGGCAAGGTGCCCCAAAATTTAAAGTTATTAAGAAGAGAATTTAAAGTTATGAGTCAACAGGATAAATTAATTATATGTACTTGCATATATAAAATACTAGATTTTTGATAGAAACTTAACAGCAGAAATGAGAAAATTGAACGTTGGGAGGCTATGAGGGCAGAAGTTAAATATCTTTGTGGTTTTGCCTAGATTTACACAATATTGAAAGATCAGAGAGTCAAAATTATTTCTTTCAGAATAAACTCCTGGGACATTTCATCTTTGGATACTACAGAGCCTGATATTAATTGCATGTTGGGAGAACTGTGTCCCTGGGATCTTTTTGGATTCAGTGTCCTGCGTCCTTGCCAGTGTCTCCTGATTTGCTGATCTTCAGTGATCTCCAATCTCAAATAACAGCCCCGACAACCAATACATGAGCCTTAGACACTGAGTTGTCACTTGAAGGTAATAATGGTTTGAACTCTATGGCTTAAGCTTCCTTTCTGTATTAAAATATGATTATTAGTGTGAAAAAAATGTGGAAAACTTTTTTTCTTGTAACATATTTATTTCTTTTTATGCTTTGATTTTATTTCTATACCATGCCCATGATTCTTAACTTTTAATGGCGAACTGGTTTAAAGTGATGTTCATCTGGGTGAGGGGAGATTATATAGTGCCCATGTTAAATTTTGCATCATGGTAAAATAAAATTCTTCTACAAGCCTAAAACAAACATATTCCTACAAATAAGGAGCTGGTTCATGACTGTGAATTGATCTCTCATCGCGTTTCTTTGGAGGTATTGTGTGTGAGTGTGTGTTAAAAATACAGGAGAAGTCTCCTTTGATTGGGATGGGTAAATTGACAATGAGCAGGCTGCATTAAACAGATTAGAACAAGAGTGATGTGTGTCTGGCTTTATTTTATTCCTTTGATACAAGTAAAACGAGTACAATTTAGTGTAGCTAAATGGGTGGGAATTAACATAAATGAGAGAATCGGAAGACTTACGCATGTATGTATGTTTTTATGGGTATGTATGTGTATAACTGTGAGTGAAATTATTAGAACTATATATATTTAGTATACGTTATATTGAATATATTACATGTAGCATATTTATAAACTGGTTTATTCCTTAAGGGTCCTTTCATGTTCTCTTTTTACTATTGTGCTCTCCTCCCCCTATTTTGAGGGATCACTCAGTGTCTTCATCCTTTTATGGGGTACCCATGCCTCCTCTGACTTTTCCTGTGACTTCTTTTCATTTCCATTGAGTACTGCTAAGTACAATTTTTAGATGATAAGTGAAATAAATATTAAAAAAGCAGTGAAAATTACCTTATATATTTTACTTTAATGACTAATTTTCAGAACAAATATTAATGCAATTTCAGGATATACAGTTATTGTAGGGGAAGAATTTTAGGCTGGAGTAATTTTTCCTGATGCCACGTGGAAAGTGCCTATTTGTCCTATATATGAGGTAAAGTCGTGAAATTTGGGTATATACTTTGTATCTGTGAATATATTTTAAACTTCTGCATTTATAAGTGTTTGGACTTTTAAAAAGCTGATTAAAAATTTTGATCTTTTCATCTTCTAGAAGATAAACATTCTATGTTGGTTTGATGCCTCTTAGTCTCACTAAAGAGCCCTTCTTACCCTGATCACCACTCTTTCCATTCAGATTCAACTACCTCTTCATTCAACACACAAGACCAGAGAGCTAACTCCCTTCCCTAACACCACACACCAAAGAAGAGAAGGAGAACTTTGCAAATCAGGACTATCATAGATGAATCCAGCTTATAGGCCAGAAGGTAAACTAGATGACTAAACATGAGGTGTGCTGCATAATGCTTGCATAAGAATATCTTTGCTGAATAAACTGCATGAGTTTACGTCATCAGTATGCTGGTGGACTAAATGAGTTAACGAATCCCTAAAGAAAATAAGTCATTGAAAGTATGTGTCCATATAATTAAACATTAAGTTATAAATGTTAATATTATTACTTTCAATAGCCAAATGTTTGCCATTTTATAGGAAAAATAACCTCTATAATCTCCAGAAGCGAGCTACCATTCATATAAAGAAAAACCTTAAAAAATGCCCAACTCAGAATTTACAATTGAAGAATGGAAATGCTATTTATATTAATTATTTGCATATATTAACCATTACTGAGTTTTTTCACTGAATTTGAACAATTTGTCCTGAGTTATAAATTAATTGAATGTACTTTATTCCTTTGACATTTTCTTTCTTTCTGCCTTTATTTTTTCTGTGATACACTTTATCTCAGCTTCTAATAGTTATCAGTCAGGAAAATACTGCTTCCACAATAGCCTTCATGTATCTCTCTGTATTATGTATTTTCTTTAAGGTCTTCTTTTGTGATTTCTATATCAAAATTTATTCCATGGGTCACTGTAACATCTCTGAGTCAGTGTTTTGATTAGAGATTAATCAAAACTTTTTAAAGATTGATATTTTGCCCAATGGCCAACACATTATCCTCCCTGAATTCTTGTAATGTGTTTCTCCTAGTTCTGAACAGGGTGATGGGCATGACCAACAGCAGTGTCAAGGGAGACTTCATCCTGGTGGGTTTCTCTCATCAGCCCCACCTGGAAAAGATCCTCTTTGTGGCTGTTTTGATATCCTATCTCCTTACCCTTGTGGGAAATACAGTAATTATTCTGATCTGCTCTGTAGACCCTAAACTCAAGACACCCATGTATTTTTTCTTACTCACCTCTCCTTAGTTGATATCTGTTTTACCACCAGTATTGTCCCCCAGCTGCTGTGGAACCTAAAAGGACCTGACAAAACAATCACATTCCTGGGTTGTGTCATCCAGCTCTACATCTCCCTGGCATTGGGCTCCACTGAGTGTGTCCTCCTGGCTGTAATGGCTTTTGATCGCTATGCTGCAGTTTGCAAACCTCTCCACTATACCGCCGTAATGAACCCTCAGCTGTGCCAGGCTCTGGCAGGGGTTGCGTGGCTGAGTGGAGTGGGAAACACTCTTATCCAGGGCACTGTCACCCTCTGGCTTCCTCGCTGTGGACACCGATTGCTCCAACATTTCTTCGTGAGGTACCCTCCATGATTAAGCTTGCATGTGTGGACATCCATGATAATGAGGTTCAGCTCTTTGTTGCTTCACTGGTCTTGCTCCTCTTGCCCTTAGTGCTAATACTGCTGTCCTATGGACATATAGCCAAGGTGGTCATAAGGATCAAGTCAGTCCAGGCCTGGTGCAAAGGCCTGGGGACATGTGGATCCCATTTGATAGTAGTGTCCCTCTTCTGTGGGACCATCACAGCTGTCTACATCCAGTCCAACAGTTCTTATGCCCATGCTCATGGGAAGTTCATCTCCCTCTTCTATACAGTTGTGACCCCGACCCTCAATCCTCTCATCTACACACTGAGGAATAATGACGTGAAAGGAGCACTGCGATTATTTAACAGAGACTTAGGCACATAAAAAATGAAGCAGAGTACACAGCGCTCAACTTTTTTCACAAAGCAACTTTAAAGGTCATCTTGTATAATTTTTCACTCAAGAACTTTGCCAGTCTGTAAAGGAAGAGATGTAATCTTCTCCATCTGCATTACTGTATTTCACTTGGCCTCAGAGCTTTCTATCCTCTCCAATCTCTTTCCAGACTTCTTTTGAGCCCATGTAAGGCAATATTCCCCCATGCCTTTTAGATCTCCATGAGTCACATCATTTCTGTTTCTCGCTCTCCCCGGCTTCCTGTGCTTTTCTTTAGCCTTCCTTCCTTTCTTGCTTTTTTCCTTCCCTTCCTTCCGTTTCCACCTTTTATTTATTCATTAAAAAAAGACATATAAGCCCTCAAACACAATTTTGGTATACAAGGTCTTGTTTATTATATAATAGTCATTGTTTTGGATCAACTCAGAGAAAAGTATAGAGCCCTTCTTGAATTACTTAAAACTTAACTATAAATTAGGGCATGCTTTATTTAAATATACTCAAGCACTGAAAAGGAATAGGTATCTGTGTTCTAGAGCAGGCTGTGGCAAACTGGGGGAACAGGCCAAATCACTCATTCTAACACTTGATAACATGATTTTTTATTTCAGTTATTCACAAGAAGGGACATTCACCAGCAGTTAGTAATTAATGATATCTTTTCCATCTTCAATTAAACAGAGAGTTCACAGAATTCCATCTGGGGCCTGCTTTGAAACTATGCACACTTGGCAAAAGGAAAAGAGCTCAGATCCAAACAGGACATGGGTACCAGTGTTTTATAAATCAAAATTTCTCACCCTTAGCCCTCTGGACATTTTGGAACAGATAATTTTCTGTTGTCAGGGTCTCTCTTCTGCATTTTAGGATGCTCAGCAGTATCTTTGGCCTCTGTGCACTAGATGCTAGTAGCATCTCCTTTCCCCCCAAGTTGTGACAAGCAAAAATACCTCCAGACATTGTCAAATATGCCCTAGGAAGCAAAAATGCTCCTGGCATAGAAGCACTGCCATAAATCAGGGCATATTGCTATATCAAGAGGCATGTTTTATTACATGGGAGTAAGCCTACAGGGTCAGAGTGAGACTAGCAGCAGTCATTCTAGTGCACAAAGCATAGGTGTGCACATAGAAACACAAAAGCACAGGAACATATACAAACATATTTGATAAAATGTTTTTAGTGTCCTTTTGTTTCATTATGTATGGTTTTAAATTTTCATTTTTATAATAAGAGAAAAGGCCATTTTGACATATGTTGAACTATCTTTTTCAGAGCAATGTTATTTCATTAAAAATTTTTTTGAAGGGAAGATTTTACTTTAATTTTATATTATTAAATAGTGAGGCATGAGGTAAAATCGGTGGAAATGAGAACGTGAAGTAAATGCTCAGTGATTCCAATTGCATTCACCTCTCCAACATGGCATCTGCTGTTTAGGGAGGCGGGGTTATCCAGCTTCTGGATCTGGGTGTGGGCATGGGATAGTCAGATGGGAATGGCACCAGTTGGAGGAACATGGGTAAGAGAGGGTGAAAGGTAAAGTGCTATCTCTGAGGTAGGTTAGGGTCTGACATCTGGAAAGTTGGGGAAGGAAGGAGCCCTAAGGAGATATAGCCTAGGGCTTTTCCAGCTACTTTGACAGCCATTTGTTCTGTTACGAGATCCCGATGTCACTTGAACAAGACCCTCAGTGGGCCTCATCTTGGCTCCATTACTTTCTGAAAGCTTTTTCTTCATCTTCCGTTTTTTCTTGGGTTCAACACCAGATGGTGCCAGCAGACCATAATGTATCCAGCAAATTCTTCCTGTCATATCCAGCCTCGTCTGCCTTACCCAAAGCTTCATGGGCTTTTTCGGTGAAATTTCTCCTAATTCCCTTCCTCTGCCTAATCCTCCTATTTCTCTGTTGAAAACAATAGCAATGTCTTCCCTACCATAAAAATCCTTGTGTGCCTTTATAATCCAAACACACTAGATGACTGTACAATGACAATACTTGTCATTTGTCCTGTGACTATGCCTTAATATGTTAAAATTTATTTCTTTATACATAAAAATGTATTTCAAGTATAAATAACTGGTTCTGAGTTTGCCATTTTATATAATTTGGAGAGTTCCTGAAGTCAAGAATTTAGAACCATGGAACTCTACACTGAAAAGCCACCAGCCAGGGCCAGCACATACCCAGAAGTTATTGTTTTGGGAATGGTCTGTCAATTTGGGGTCCGGGGTTTAGTGGATGTGCATGTGGAAGAAGGAGAAAGAGAAAACAGTTTTTGAATAGCTAGAGCGTTCTGTGATTGAGCAAAATAACAGTGTGTTTGCTGGGCCTTTTACCTTAAGACCTTAGTGAGTTTCTTAGCCTAGATTCTCTAAAAATCAGAGCTTGAGGCAAAAAAGGAAATATTAATGTTTTATTTGGGAATGCAAATAGAGGGCAGCAAAGGTGAGAAAAAAAGGGAACTGAGAGAAGGGAAATATGAAGCAAGGTGAGGTGATACATTTTCACACTGGCTACCACTTCCTGAGAAATTTTAGAAGGCTGCCTCACGGATGCTTTAATCTGCTCTCGCCACTCTCCTTCAGACAAGATAGGAGGAGGAATCTTGCTTTGGGTGAAAGAAAAAAAAAAGAAAGTATTAAAGTATATCAAAGAAGAAGGAGCTGTGTCAAAGGCTGTTAGTATAGTAGGTCAAGTGAGATGAAGATTAAGAACTGACCATTGGATTTAGCAATAAGGAAGTCATCTGTGACACTAAGGGAGGAGTTTTGCTAGAGAAAAAGAAGGCAACAGCCACACTGGAATGGAAGCAAGAGAGAACAGTGGGAGACAACTTAGAGACAGAAAGCATAGAAAACTCATGAATAGTGCTTTGCTGAAGGCAGGAAGAAATGATTCAATAGCTGTAGGGAAAGGGAGGTCAAGAGAAGGCAGAAAGAGTTTTTTTCTGTAAGATGGATGTAATGGCAGCATGCTTGTATTCTATGGTAATGACCTATAGAGTATGCAAAATTACACAGCAGGAGAGTGAGGGTGAACTCAGAAACAAAGTCTTTAGGTCGGTGAGGGGATGGATCCAGGGCAGCAGAGGATTGATCAGCCTTTGCTAGAGCACAAACAGTTCATCAATAGGAACCAGACAGAAAGTAGAATACATGGATATAGAAGCAGGTGGGTGTGTTGAGGTAGTATTGAAATCTGATAGAAATTCCTTTCTGATTTCTCCAATTTTCTCTGAAGTTTTGAAAAGCAGAGGCATCAGTTGGGAGTGAAGAAAAGGAAAGGATGTGCGCTTGGATAGAGCAGAGAAGGTGTGAACAGACACCTGGGAAGAGGGAAAGTACAGAAATTATGAAATATAGAAAACTAACGATTTTCTTTTCTGGATTTTCTTTTTGTTTTGTTGCATTTCGTTTTTTTTCAAAGGTTTATCTGGTGATATGTTATGATCCTGGGGGAGGAAGAGCTGAGCTCTACATTTGGCTCAGTCTATCATGGTGTTTCCCCGTGGGTCTCTTTTTTTCCCACTATATCTCTAACTATTTTATCATTTTCATCAAATGACTTCTTAAATCAATTGAAATAGTCATTTATAAAAGTCATTTGTATATAAACATTCCATTGTTTTCATACTTGTGTTTTAACTATAGTAAATACAGCACTTGATATACAGAAATTTAGTTCCAAATGTCTTTGATTGTTCAACTGCCTTTATAAATCTCCCACTATAACTTATTTAAAAAACAGAATATTGTACATGTACTATCTAGAAATTAAAATTATTTCTCTTCCCCAACATTTAAGTAATATATATTTAGAAAACACCATCCTAAGAGTTTTAATTCTATTAAGCTTCAATTTGAACTCCTGTATAACAATTTAACAGCAACGAAACTAGAATAGAGAGAATTTTTAATTACTTTAGGACAACAATGATATGGCTATTTTTCCTGGATGTTAAAAGTAGGTTCAGGGCCAGTTGCGGTGGCTCATATCTGTAATCCCAGCACTTGGGAGGCAGAGGCAGGAAGATCGCTTGAGCCCAGGAGTTCAAGACTAGCCTGGGCAAAATAGCAAGACTCCATCTCTACAAAAACATTAAAAAATAATAATAATAAGCAGGTCTATTTGAAGGTAGAATCAATGAGGAAGGTTATCTTCTTCTACTTTAAGATGTATAAATATGTAAATGATCTGAAGTTTTATTTCATTTTCTTGATATATATCAGTAATTACTTAATCTCTGTCCTGGAGATTTTGAAGCTAATTTTCATACTGTGCATTTTCTGGTCCAAAGATTCTTGATTTATTTTATATGCTTAATATGATTTTAAGTGTTCCTTTTATTCTTTTCAGATAATTCAGACTATATTTTGTTTGTGTCCTCTCCAAAGGTTTTACAAAAGCATAAATCAGATTATTGAGAGCTATCTAAGTAATATACATGTTCTGATTTGTTTATTACATCCACTCTAACATACCTGCATCTGTTTTATCTTCTCCAAGTGTCAGAGATTTGCTCTGACTTTTCTTGTTCTTTGGAACTTGTTCTAGGTGTTCTCAGTTCTGACTCACTCTAAGTTATTTCTGTTTATTGAGATATTTTCAATATGTTTATTTCTGTTGGCTTAATCTTTTATTTCATCCTTCAGTTTTTTGTAAAAGCTATTTTGGGTTTTCCCGAAGATGGACGTCTTCATCCAAACTCTACTTTATTGCTATGGCAAGTCTTCATTCATGTGATATAGTTTTAAAGTTATTTTGGCTTTATCCATTTGGTACTGATGGACTTTGACATATCTTCTAGTGACTGAATCCTTGTTTTAATGTCAGACACAAGTCATTATGAACATTTAGATACCTTTTTCTTCCATTTGTTTTCTAATGAGTCCAGTTTAAACTCAAAGAGTTAGATCTTTCAAGTTTTTAATTAACTAATTGCCTTTAAATTTGGAGTTCTTGATAAATTGTTCTCAAGACTAGACTCAATAAGAAAAAAATCTGTAACTCTTCCTATACTTTAAAAATCAGTTTAACCTAACCAAAATCTTCACTTTTTTTCTACCTAGAACAGAACTTCTTATGGAAAATACATTAATCCCTATTTGGATAAAGTCAGCTTTTAACTATTAAAAAAATTCAGATATAGCTGCACTTACCGCCATCTCCCATGTTAAGCCAGAGAGATCTGCTGTGAGTCTCATGTCTCCTGGTAACAGACATGGCCTCACTCAGCTTCTCCAGAATTCGTATAAAGTAAAACTTTATAGCAGTAGGCAGGTACTCTGTAACACCAGCTCTGCCTCAGGTTGCCAGGACCCTCCTATTCTACAACACACTGTAGAGAACACTGTGGAGTATTCTGCTCAGAACCTAAACCAGTGCCTGGCAACCAAGAGAGACCAGCAGTGTGCGTGGCGATAGGGGAGAACAGGCAGTGCTTCCAAAACATTTTCATTTCATAGCACACTTTAAGTTAGATGTACAAGGCTGACTTTCACCAGGGAAGATTGGCCACTGGGACTTTGTTCATCCAAGGCCACATCCATCAATCCCAAAATCTGGGAGGATAGATGGATTTTTACACATGTGCTATTCGGGAATCACTGACAAAGACTGTCAAATGAAAATGATGTGACTCAAAGGCTAAAGACTTTATTCAGGTGATGAGCATTGAGATCTCCTTACTGAAGTCAGATCAGAGTTTTTACAGGATAGAGGAAGTGGAGTACACATCCTCGTTACCTTGTTTTGGCTAAGGCAACAGCTTTCTATTTTAAAATCTCAGTTGGGGGCTTATACCTGCTTTCATGCCCCTTTCATGTCAATAATCATCAGAAAAGTATTTTTTGAGAATGATTTTTGCAAGCCTTGAGGTTTGTTAGTTAGTCAAGGTTCATGGGGTGGGGAGAGAGAGAGGAAGAAAGAAAGGAAAAGAGAGAGGAAGGGAGGAAAGAAAGAAAGAAAGAAGGAAAAAAGAATAAAAGAATAGGAAAGAATAAGAAAAGAGGACAAAGGTAGAAAGCAATGGGGAAACTGGAAACTTCTGTCTTGTTTGTTTTCATTGTTTTACAGAGTTTACATGCTCTCCTTCATGGTCAATATTTTCTTAATGTAAATATTTTTTTAGACCCATAAGGTTCTAATACTCCAAAAAAGTTAAACAAAGCCCTCCTTTTGGCAACCTATCCCTTTTTGTGTTTGGTCAGATCTCAAGTGTAGAAGAAGGAGAATGAAGGGTCTCATAATCAACTTACCACCTTGAATTTCAAATGTAACAACTCAAGGAATCAAAGGGGAACTTGAAAATCCTTCAAATATAAAAGATTTATAATCATGCTATAAATAACACCCAGCCCCTTACTCAGTCACTGTTCTTCATGTTTCCCAATTCTCAAGCAAAACGCAAAAACTTTCTATTCCCTGGCAGAGAGAGGAATAGAATACCATAATCAAACAGGCAGTTAATAATGAGTTGCTATAACAGAAGTTGCCATCCCTTGTTCTTCTCTATTTGTGAACATTCATGAGAACGGCTATTCCTATTCCATACAGTTCCAGTGAGTTCTTGACCATGAAACTGATCACAAGGGTGAACAAGTGATCCAATTTCAACAAGTCAGTTTTTCTTAGTGCTTTGAATCTTCAACAGATGGTATTGTCCAAATGGGGTTACCTGTTACTTCCAATCTGAATTCCCCAGGCCTACCCTGATTCATTTTACTCCAGTAACCTGATGGTCCTACTGGTTCTTTCATTTGGTGGGGTACTCACTGTATCTTTCCAAAATTTATTTTTCTTTTTTTTATTATAAAATTTTATCTTCTCCAATTGATTTTTCTTTTTTTTAAATTATTATTATACTTTTAGTTTTAGGGTACATGTGCACAATGTGCAGGTTTGTTACATATGTATACATGTGCCATGTTGGTGTGCTGCACCCATTAACTGTCATTTAGCATTAGGTATATCTACTAATGCTATCCCTCCCTTCTCCCCCCACCTCACAACAGTCCCCGGTGTGTGATCTTCCCCTTCCTGTGTCCATGTATTCTCATTGTTCAATTCTCACCTATGAGTGAGAACATGCAGTGTTTGGTTTTTTGTCCTTGCGATAGTTTGCTGAGAATGATGGTTTCCAGTTTCATCCATGTCCCTACAAAGGACATGAACTCATCATTTTTTATGGCTGCATAGTATCCCATGGTGTATATGTGCCACATTTTCTTAATCCAGTCTATCATTGTTGGACATTTGGGTTGGTTCCAAGTCTTTGCTATTGTTAATAGTGCCACAATAAACATACGTGTGCATGTGTCTTTATAGCAGCATGTTTTGTAATCCTTTGGGTATATACCCAGTAATGGGATGGCTGGGTCAAATGGTATTTCTAGTTCTAGATCCCTGAGGAATCGCCACACTGACTTCCACAATGGTTGAACCAAAATTTATTTTTTTTAAGATGGCCAGAGGTATTTTCTGTTTTTTACAACCAAAGGACCCTGATACATCTACCACATGTACACGATCATTTTTGAAGTATCAAAAACCAATACATTGAACCCTCTTAAAAACAGTAAAATATTTATGAATGCAGAAAACCTTCTGAGATTCTGATGTTCAGAATTATGAACCTAGTATTGGATGCTAAATAGAACTGTTTTAATAGTGGTAAGAATTGGAATATTATGGATTATCTGAGCTCCTCCTTGTCATAGAGGTGGATCCTGAGTTTTTGGGGACACAGAACTTGTTCACTTTGGTTAGATATCACATAAATTCTAAAGCTCAATCTTTTTGGAAAAATCTGGACACATTTGAGAAAAAGAATATGTCAAGGCATTTTCAGTTCTATACACTTCATTCTCTTACTTTCTTTGTTGAGTCAGGAGAGGACGCTCACTAATACGCAGAGACAAGGGCAGACAGCAAGATCTAGTAGAGGGTAAGAAACAAAAGATACTGCTTCAGGTCCAATGCCCTATGCTCCTTTATTTCCTTAAAGGCACAGGGAGGTCTAGTGCTGGAAAGAGACCCAGAGAGATATATAGATACTGCTACAATAACAGTAATGGAGAGAAACAAAGCAGTAGAGAGACAAAAAGAGACAGAGAAGCAGAGAAACAAAGAGAAACAGATGAAGAGCTTATAGATAAAGGCTGTATGGATAAAGAGCATATGGATAAAATCTGTTTCTCTGCAGAGAAACAGATTTAGAGACATAGGGAGAGAATCTCAGAGAAAGACAAGAGAGTCTCTCCTGCTTAAATAGCTGCAGTGCTCCTCTGTTACTGTTAAAGTCCAAATACAACCCACAAGACCACACCAACCTCTCTAGGCTGTTAATAATACTGTTCCCCCGATTGCCACCCTATAGTCAAACCAGTTTCTTAGAGTCTCTAAGTCACCACTGCCTTCCACATATTTTCTTGCATACACTAAGAGATCAATAAAAATATTTTGAATGAATGGCATATTATCTTGAAGCTGATGAGAAGGCATTGAAGGATGACTACTTTCTTCTCTCTGCCACAGGCTACAATCTACATGGAATATGCATACTCTGACAGTACAAGCATAGAATCAAAACCCAGGTCTCTGATCCACAGAAAGTTCACTGCTCTGTCTACCCCTAAGTAGAATCCTGCTATCCTTACCCACATCTTCCTCAAAGAGGCCACCCTTCTGCTGCCCACCACCTCTCCCCTCTCTTACCCAATGCAGTCACATCCATGTTCATACAGAAGTTAAGGTGTGTATGTAAGGGGTAAAGGTCAGTAGCCTGGCTGAGAAGCCAGTATGTATCTGCTAAGAAATTAGAAATTAGTTTCCTGTCTATTAATAAATTAGTATCTAAGTTAATTAAGAAATCAGATCTCACCAAGAGTGTAAAAGCTGTTTCCTATTTCTCCAAAGCCTTGCTAGCATCTATTATTTCTTGACTTTTTAATAATGGCCATTCTGACTGGTGTGAGATGTTATCTCATTCTGGTTTTGATTTGCATTTCTCTAATAATCAGTGATGCTCCTTATAGATTCTGGATATTAGACCTTTGTCAGATGGATAGATTGCAAAAATTTTCTCCCATTTTATAGGATGCCTGAGTTCAACCATTGTGAAAGACAGTGTGGCAATTCCTCAAAGACCTAGAACCAGAAATACCATTTGACCCAGCAATCCCATTACTGGGTTTATACCCAAAGGAATATAAATCATTTTATTATAAAGATACATGCACACATATGTACTTTGCAGCACTATTCACAATAGCAAAGGCATGGAATCAACCCCAATGCCTATCAATGATAGACTGGATAAAGAAAATGTGGTACATATACACCACTGAATACTACACAGCCATGAAAAGGAACAAGATCACATCCTTTGCAGAGACATGGATGGAGCTGGAAGCCATCATTCTCAGCAAACTAACACACGAACAGAAGACCAAACACTGCATGTTCTCACTTATAAGTGGGAGCTGAACAATGAAAACACATGGACACAGGGAGGGGAACCACACACACTGGGACCTGTCGGGGATAGGTGGGAAGAGCATCAGGATAAATAGCTAATGCATGTGGGGCTTAATACCTACGTGGTGGGTTAATAGGTGCAGCAAACCACCATGACATACATTTACCTATGTAACAAACCTGCACGTCCTGCAAATGCATCCCGGAACTTAATATTAAATTAAATTTTAAAAAAAGAAATTAGAGGCTGGGCGTGGTGGCTCATGCCTGTAATCCCAGCACTTTGGGAGGCTGAGGAGGGTAGATCATGAGGTCAGGAGTTCAAGACCAGCCTGGCCAAGATGGTGAAATCCCGTCTCTACTAAAACTACAAAAATTAGCCAGGTGCAGTGGCAGGCACCTCTAATCCCAGCTACTCAGGAGGCTGAGGCAGGAGAATTGCTTGAACCCAGGCAGCAGAGGTTACAGTGAGCTGAGATGGCACCACTGCACTCCAGCCTGACCGACAGAGTGAGATTCCATCTAAAAAAAAAAAAATTAGATCTCCAGAAACAACTCAGTTAGGTCACCTTAGGTGGCTCATGATCTCTTGTGCTGCTACCAATTCTGTCAACTGCTCTTGATCTTAACTACAGACCCAACTCTGCAAATTGCTGGAGAGAAAAGCCTCCTGTCTTCCCAGGATCATTCAAATTTTCTATAATTTAGATACAAATCCAACCCCCAGAGAGCTGGTTCACAAGATCCATAAAGAAATGCAAACTAATTTTTAAAAGAAAAATATATAATCCATTGCTTATTGTAATCTGTAATAGCTAAAATGAAATTAAAAGAGAATGCCAAAGCAGACCTTAATGCTAGAATAAGCTCAGATTTTGATGAGTGTGAACTCAGACCACTAACCTCAAAACCACCCCTCAAGAGAAAAATTATGTTGGGAACAAGATAAATTATCTCTACAACGTCTGATCCAAGAGGGCAGTTAACATGAGAGAAGGTATATTAGTCCATTCTCATGCTGCTAATAAAGACGTACCTGAGACTGGGTAATTTATAAAGGAAAGAAGTTTAATTGACTCACAGTTCCGCAAGGCTGGGGAGGCTTCAGGAAACTTACAATTATGGCAGAAAGGGAAGCAAACATATCCTTCTTCAGATGGCAGCAGAAGAGAGAAAAAGGGCAAAAGGGGAAAAACTCTTTATAAAATCATCAGATCTTGTGAGAACTCACTCACTATCATGAGAACAGCAGCATGGGGAGTAACCACTCCTATGATTCAACCTCTCACTAGGTCCCTACCAAGACACATGGGGATTATGGGAACTACAATTCAAGATTAGATTTAGGTGGAGACAAGGCCAAACCCTATCATTCTGTGCCTGGCCCCTCCCAAGTCTCATGTCCTCACATTTCAAAACACAATTATGCCCTTCCAACAAGTCCCTCAAAGCCTTAACTAATTCCAGCATTAACTCAAAGTCCAAGTCCAAAGTCTCATCTGAGACAAGGCAAGTCCCTTCTGGTTATAAGCCTGTAAAATCAAAAGCAAGTTAGTTACTTCCTAGATACAATGGGAGTACAGCATTGGGTAAATACACCCATTCCAGATGGGAGAAATTGGCCAAAACAAAGGTGTTGCAGGACCCATGCATGTCCGAAATCCAGCAGGGCAGTCAATTCTTAAAGCTCATAAATGATCTCTTTTGACTCCATGTCTCAAATCTAGGTCAAGCTGATGCAAGAGGTGGGCTCCCATGGCCTTGGGCAACTCCATCCTTGTGGCTTTGCTCCCCTCCTGGCTGCTTTCACAGGCTGGCATTGAGTGTCTCCAGCTTTTCCAGGCACACAGTGCAAGCTGTCAGTGGGTCTATCATTCTGGAGTCTGGAGGATGGTGACCCTCTTCTCACAGCTCCACCAGGCAGTGCCCCAGTGGGTACTCTGTGTAAGGGCTCCAACACCACATTTTTCTTCTGCACTGCCCTAGCAGAGATTCTCCATGAGGGCTCTTGCCAACCCAGCAAACTTCTTCCTGGACATCCAGGCACATCAATACATCCTCTGAAATCTAGGCGGAGGTTCTCAAAGCTCAGTTCTTGTCTTCTGCACACCCACAGGACCAACACCATGTGGAAGCTGCCAATGCTTGGGGCTTGCACTCTCTGAAGCGGTCTGTACCTTGGCCTCTTTTAGCCAAGGATGGAGCTGAAGCAGATAAGACACCGGGCACCATGTCCCAAGGCTGCATAGAGCAGGGGGGCTCTGGGCTTGGCCCAGGAAACTGTTTCTCCCTCCTAGGCCTCTGGGCCTGTGATGGGAGGGGCTGCTGTGAAGACCTCTGACATGCCCTGGAGACATTTTCCCCATTGTCTTGGTGATTAACATTTGGCTCCTTCTTACTTATGCAAATTTCTGCAGCCTGCTTGAATTTCTCCTCAGAAAATGGGTTTTTATTTTCTATCACATTGTCACTGTCTCTGAACAGGAGTGAACTGAGGGGGAAGCACTTGCTAGACCAGTGTTGTTAGCTGCAATCTGAAGCAACACAGTGGCTGAACCTAATATTCCTTCCAAAATTGAAAAAGTTTGGTTGTAAATGGAGAAGACAAATAATAGCTAAGAGTAAAGCAATAAACAAATGGGTTTTGTAATGAGGCAAATCTAATATTATATCAATACTGTGAAAGAGTCTAAGAGCAAGAGATGATATTGTTATAAGTTCCACGATGTTGATTATTTTATATGTTTTATCTACTATTACATAACTACCATCTGAAACATAATAGGTATATAATAGGAAAGCCATAAATATCTATAAAGTGAAAGAATAATTGGGTCTGATAAAAAGATAACCATTTTGTTACAATAAGGCCTCAGAATGAAGAAAAACACAGAAGTCTATTCCTATAACTGGGGGCCCAGAATATCAAGGCTCAAACTGAGAAACTTGCACACACACTCATCATAGTATCAGCACCAGAGAGCAGTAAATGTGGACTTTGGCATGGCAAACACTTTGCATTGGATAGTGAAAGTCACATTACAGGTCAACAGTGGTCATGCTGAGACAGAGAGACAGAAGCAATTAAAACCAAGACCTGCCATATTACAGTATAGGGGTACATATAAGTTGATCAAGAAGTTTCTGTCTCAAAACTTTAGAAATCTTGTTGGGACTGAAAGCACTGGTGGAGCTTGTAGGAAAATAGAACAAAAAAAGAACGAAATAGAAAGGCATGAAACGTACTACTTAGTATTTTATTTTGCAAGTAATGTGTTTCTTGTGTCTTCTCCTCCTCCCCCATTCAATTGCATTGTGTCCTTTTCAAGACAATAGCTATTAAATATATTAATTTTTATACCATACTGTGTCTAAATCCACAATATGAAGAATTTAAGGGCCCAATTGATTGATGAAGGAAACTGAAATCTCAACCTGAACAGAATGCAGCTCTTTCTCTCCTACTTTTGGCTTAGGAGGTGTATCTCCAGCTTTTTGTGATGAGGTTGTTCTCTATTCTTAGGTTAAGCAAAGGTAAACATATGTTAACCTTGTTAGTTATTCTGGGAATCCCAGGTCCTCCTCCCCAATCTTATTAGTGCTCCCTTTACCTCCTTGTTCCTTAGAGTGTAGATGAGGGGATTAAGAGTTGGGGTTACTACAGTGTAGAAAAGAGTGAGAAATTTGCCCCATTCATGAGGATAGTGATTTTTTGGTTGAAGGTAGACACCTGTGACAGTGCCATAAAAGAGAGAAACCACAAGAAGGTGAGAGATGCAGGTGCCAAATGCTTTCTTCTGTCCTGCAGTTGACTTAATTCTCAGCACAGCCTTAGCAATAGCACCAGAAGAGGAAAGGATAATGATCAAGGGCATCACCAGGAGGACAACACTGGCGATAGACATCTGAATTTCACTGTAGGTAGTATCAGTACTGGAGAGCTGAATCAGAGCTGGGACTTCACAAACAACATCATCCACCATCCGCTGGGAGCAGAAGGGTAACCGGAGGGTGGCAGGGGACTGGATCAGAGACTGGGCCAAGCCAGTCCCCCATGCCAAGATAGCCAGCTGCAGACAAAGTTTTGGGTGCATGATCATGGTATTTTGCAGTGGATGACACACTGCTACATAACAATCCACAGCCATGACAACAAGAAGGACACATTCCGTGGCCCCAAGCCACAAAAAAACATAGAGTTGAATGGCACAGCCAATGTAGCTGATGGTCTTTTCTGGGCCCCAGAAGTTAATCAACATCTGTGGAACACAGCTGCTGGTCAAACAGAGGTCTACCAAGGAAAGGTTGGAAAGAAAGAAATACATAGGGATGTGGAGTTTTGGATCCTTCAAGGACACAAGAACTATGACCATATTTCCTGCAAGAGTCAAAAAATAAAAAATAAAAATGATCCAAAAAGTATCTTCTCCAAATGTGGCTTGTTAGAGAAGCCCAGAAGGATGAAATCACTGTGGCTGTCATTGCAAATTATAATCATAGCTACTGGGGCAAATGCCTCTCTGGGGAACGGTTCAAAAGTAGTTCCTCAAAAGCCTGTGATGGTTCCAGTACAGACAGGAAGACGGGTGGTATATGACTTGTTTGATTCCTTTCTACTCAAGGATAAGATTTTCACCAGCTGTATTTTGGGAAAAAATACAAGATTTAGTGAAGTGCTTTAATCTTTGATATTCATCATTCACTCTCTCTCTTCCTCTTTTACATCTTCCTCATATTTTGTCTCTGATTAAAATTGTTCATTATAAATATTATATAAAATACATGTAAGCACCTGCTAGTGAAAATCACTTTGCTAAATATTAGATGTGTTTCATCTGTGCTCTCAAAGAGTATACATTTACCACATTTATTACATAGTTCTAATCACTGCCTATTAGCTTTATAACTTTCTCTATTTCTTTTGTTCTCTTATTTCTCTGTGACCTTGTATCTTGATTTATTTCACTCTCTGTCTCCCATGTTTCTCTCTTTTCCTTCCCCTCTTCTCTCCCTGGATCTTCTCCCTTTATCTTCTCTTTTTTCTCTCTCATTCTCCTCTTCTCCATTCCTCCTTTTCACTCTGTCTGTTATTGATGAGCTTGAATTCTCCCTCAGCCACCTTCATGCTGTGTGATGTTAGGAAAAGTAGGTAACATTTTTGTTCTTACTTTAGTTCTTTCCTTAGATTTTGTATTTGGAAAACGAGCAAAATTAAAAACCTACATATGCTTGTTGGAGAGATTAAATGTGCAAATGTGGGAAATACTAAAAAGTGTTCTTGGCACAAAGTAACTGTTCAATGTAAGTTAGCAATAATTATCATGATGATGAAACTGTTCAATGGATTGTTCCAGAAACCAAAATTTATTACCAAAGTTTTGCAGAGCATGAGTAAAAATAACATCTAGAAAAAAGAAACATTATATTTCTACATGACCTTCTTTGATGAAGAATGATAAAGTACATTAAAGAAAACCAAAAGCTTGAAATTAGATGAAAATATTTAAAATCATTAACAATAATAACTGTGTCAAATAGATCACTCAAGCCATAATTCTAAGAAAAATTATGACATAATCTGATATTTACTATTACATCAACATACATTGTGGTGAATTCTCAATCACACTTTAATGCAGTTTGAGCAACATGATGGTATATCATGCAATTACATATGTAAAGTTTTTACATCAATATATGCTTTTGCTTTTACAAAGCTTGCTGGAGGTTATTTTCTGAATATCCTAGCCCTGTTGTCTCCTATCTACCAACCATATTCTTACCCACCTATGATAAATCACATTTAACTTTATCAACACACTAGAAGCAAATTCATTTGAAGTTCTCTCAATCAGTAATTCTCATGCTTAAAGGGTATTAATCTACTGGTAAACCCTCAAGTACAATGTCACAGGGCATTAAGATGCACTGACCCTCATGGCTTAAATTTCACCATAATTTTACTCATGTTTGTCTTTACTATGCTGTGCATTCTAGAAAATCTATATATTCTCTGTTTTGTGTGTGTGTTATTTTTCCTTTATTTTATTTAGAATTTTTCAAATTAGTGATGAAATGTTACCACTTTGGTTGTGAATTTGAGTTTGATATTATATTAAAGTAGAAGAGTAGTTTGATGTTTTAAAGAATCTCAGTCTTGTAGATTTTTCCATGTTCAGAATCAACCTGCCTCTTACCCCACCCTTCGATTTTCATCCACTTCATAACCACTAACTACTGGTTTCGTTTTTTGTCTATTCAGATTGCTTTTCCTTTCCCCATTTTCTTTCTTGTATATTATCACCTGCAGGTCTCTATCTAGCTATTTTTATATATGTATGCATCCATATGTCTTATCTCTTCCAGTTCCTTTTAAATTACTAATCATTGAAGTAGATGCTTTTTTTTTTTCCCCCTGGATCAACTATTTGTAAAAGGTCCTTGGTTAGGGGAGACAGTCTTAGACTAGATGGTTTTTACTATGCAAAATTCAAGAATACTCTTAATCTCTGCTTCTCTTGAGATTATCTTCTTCCTGCAAATATAGTTTTCCCTGTGATTTTATTTTAGTTGGCCTCCTCTGCTTTTCAGAACACTATCTGGGGGAGTTCATGGTAAAAGCCAGCACACCTCCATTCCTATGGTTGTAAATGTAAAATACAGCATTTCTATCTCACCTTCTAAAGTAGATGCCTCTAGTACCAGTGTATCACATCTCTTCAGCCCAGCTCTAATTTCAGCAGAGCTGCAAGGGACAGTTGTGTGTGAACTCAGATTATCTCACACATACTGACAGTGACCTACCTCAAGTATGCTGTATAGGGCTTCCCTTGGCCCCAAGGCTTGTCTGACACCATGGGAGCCCATTTGGCATATAGACAAGTGCTGCCTAGAAGTACAAAATGCTTAATGACCCTAGGGGAAATCCTCCAACAATGAAGAATTTTAACTAGGAATAAATGGTCCAGCAGCTCTCCCTTCAGGCAAAAACATCCTGTGTGCTTTTCAGAAGGCCTTTAGAGAACTGAGCTCTCATTACACACAACCTGGCTAATGCATCCCTAAATTAACTTTCTTTCTTAAATGTTTCACTCTTCTTGTTCCCTGTATACATATAATACATATGTATTATATATTATACATGTATTTTATATATTACATATATAATGTATATATTTTATATATAGATATATATATATAGAGAGAGATGAGAATGGAGTTTCCCTGGAAGCCGACTCAGGGATGGAGATCAGCATTTAGAAAGTTTACTAGGGAACATTTTTTGGATCAACATCTTTCAAAGGAAAGGGTGGGTAGCATGATTGAGGAAAGGAAGTAATGCAAACTACCTACTTTGGAAGTTTGTAATGCAAACTACTAAAGTTTCACTGAACCCTGTAGGAAGTTCTCAATATGAGATGACAATTCATTGATGTTCTGAGCTGAGGCCAACGGCAAGCCTTAAATCTCCTTGTTGGTCAGTGTTGAATGCAGATTACATGGAAAAGGGCCATATGTTTAGATGAAGCAACTCTGTTTAGCTGAGGCAACCCAGAAAGAAGGATCTCAGCTGAGCTCTATCTACCTGTAGCACATCTAGCAGCTGAAGTAATAATGCCTTCATTCTGAAAGTGTTATCTGAGTAAAGCATTATAACTTCCAACACTGTCTATTCCTTTAATTTCAGATCTACTCCTTTGTATAAGATCTGGTGTGGGGTGGGGGAGGGGGCAGGGATAGCATTAGGAGATATACCTAATGTAAATGACGAGTTAATGGGTGCAGCACACCAACATGGCACATGTATACACATGTAACAAACCTGCACGTTGTGCACATGTACCCTAGAACTTAAAGTATAAAAAAATTAATTAATTAATTGATTAAAAAAGATCTGGGAAAAGCTCTTACAGGGCTATAGTGGGCCTCTGTATCTGGAGGAAACTTAGAAGAGGACTACCACTGCGGCTGGTCTTAAGTCCTACAAACTATGGTCACCATCTCCTTCTTACTATTCATTCTGTGTTGCTCTCACCCTTATCTGGCACCTCTCCTGCTCTCAGTGGTTTACCTGGTGTCATGATCCGGAAGTGTCTGAGCCCCTGATCACTATGGCTTTTTTTAGTTAATCTCATTGCCTTTGGTCATTTACCATCATAATTAAACAAAGTATACACTTCCTAGTGTACCTTTTGTACCCCCTAGTGGGAATATTTCCCTTTAGAGAGCTAGAACCTCTAAACTCACAGAGCTTATAATTGTGGAGAAAAAAAACACAAATTTCTCAAATGAGTTACTGGTAGGGATTCTAAGAAGGGCTTTCACCTTTTGGTTTCTAAACCATGCATTCTTCCTAGTGAGGACAGAGCACCATAGAAAGATAATTGATTTAAAGTACTGGGTCTTGAAGGATGACATTTCATCTGAGCTGGAATTTCAGGTGTAGCTTCAACAGATCCCTCCATGACTCTAATAGATCACTTATGATAGTGCAATATGTGATATGGCCAATGGATTCCATGGTCATAAGTCCACTCCTACACTTTCTTTGCCATTAAGTCGGCCCTTTTTTCTGATACAATGGTATGTGGGATCTCCTGCTGCTGCGTCAAACATCCTATAAGCCTTTAGACAGTCATGCTGGCTGAGAACTTATGTTCAGGAATAGAAACCCATGCCTGGAGTATGTGTATCTATTCCTACCAAAAAAAATTGCTACATTCAAAGTAGAAAAAGTCCAGTGTCATCAACTTGACATTAAATAACTGGTTGATCTTTTGATGGGAAACTATTTTATCCAGTCATTGCATGGGACACTTATTGATGGAAGACTGGATGTTTGACCAGTGGCTATAATGCATGCTGTTAAACCCATGCATTGCTTCTATCCCTACTATCATGGTGACTTCATTCATAAGCTCATTGCTCTAGCATTGCAGGTAGGATAATGAGGGCAAATGTCAGAAGCTCTTGACAATAACTGCTCGCCAAGTCACATTTTCTACCTAGTTGCTTAATTCATTTTCTATGATGGATTCCATCTTGTAGTTTTAGCATGTAATACAAATAATGCAACACTTCATACCTTCACTCTTATATGTTTATGCATGTGCCTCTGTTCCAGACTTCTTTTTTCCAAGTGTTTCTATCTTTTTCTTTCCAGCCACCTGAAAAGCCTCCTAAGCCATTTATCACTACCTATGAGTTATACATATTCTAACTTCAAACTACTTCTCTTTCCACACAAAGTGAATGACTGGGTACCATCTGAAACTCTGTCCATTGGGAGGCGTTTTCCTCACTACTATTTTTCAAGATCACCGTAAGCGAGGCTATAATTTATCTTCATCCTTTTTGACTTGGACTCACATAGCAAGCTGACCCATTAATGAACCAAGCTTGACATTTTTCTCCTCCATTAGAGTTGGAAGTGTTCTCTCTTGGAGGCGTAAGTGTGGTCTGAAGAAGAGATATTGATGCAAAAGTGGTGAATAGCATGAAGTCCTGGGCTACTTGCTCATACTGTTTGCCTCTGCCCTCTAGTCATGCTGTGGTCAATCCTGGATGTACTAATGCCGTGTTACAGTGATTGCTCTGTATCCACTCAACCTAATAACTTGATGGTTCAGACAGTCCCCAGCTCATATGGGTAGTTTTGCCTGCATGGTTATTTGTTGTTCCATGGTCAGATGTTATTTCTCTACCCAGAATTCAGTAAAACACCAGGGCTTTATTTTTGAAATGTATACAATCCTGTGCTGTAGATAGCAGAGTTTTATCAAAACCCTAAGAATTTTGTTATGATCTTCCCATAAACTTGCCATAAATTCCACCTCATTTATGGTGAAATTTAGACTTGCTATAGAGCCCATTCTTACCCTGAAGGCCATTCAAATACAGCACCTAGTGGATGAATTAGAACAGTACTCGATAGTGTCAAATATGCTTACTACAAAGTACAGAGAGGTCTGCCAGGCACTTTGCTTCTTTTTTATGATAGGAAATGCATAATGCAAAAATGTATCCTTTACTTTAGATAGAATGTCTCATAGTGCCCCAGACCAATAAACACTTAAAACTTTTATGCTTTAGGTCCCTGAATCTTTATGGAGTGCAACACTCACTCTCTGGATCACATGTGTCTTATCAAGGCTTTTAATGTATTGACCACTTCTTGTTCATATTGTCTGATACGCATGATGTGTTAGATATAGTTGGCCAGTGTGACGGCCTACAGAATATACAGCTAGTCCCGTTCTCTTCAGTATTTTATGATGGAAGATGAAAAACCTAGCATAGCTCTGGGACATGGTATAGTATTGTCAGCTCCAAGTGAGTGCAAACTCCCTGATCATGTTTCCTGATAAGGATGAAAAAGAAAACATTTACCAGATCAATGTATGCATACAGGGTACTCAGTAACATGCTAATATACTCTATCAAGGATAACATATCTCTTCCAGCAGATTCAATTGGGGCTACTACTTATTTCAATCTGTGGTAATTTGCTACTGTCATCCCAATATCTGTCTGATTTATTTCAGGGGTCTGACTGCTAATGCAAATGAAGATATGACAGGAAGTACCACTATTGTATACCTTAGGATTTAAAGGGGAATAGGGAAAATAAAAGCAACTTTACAACCCTGAGGATAATTTAGGATTCAACATTAAAATTGAAAAGATATAAGGAAAATCAAAAGAGGAGGCATATATATATATATATATACACACACACATATGTATATCTCTTCAATGATGTTTGTGAGATTTATGCTTTTATAAGTTGTCTAAAATTACTTTTCTATTATAATTCAAGTCCAAACAATTCTATTCCTTTTAAAAGCAATTCGAAATATGTATTTGTTATATACTAACACTTCTAAAAATTTTTTTTCTTGAGACAGGGTCTTGCTTTGTTGCCCCAGCTGGAGTGCACTGGCACAATCTTGGCTCACTGTGACCTCCACCTCCCAGGCTCAAGCAATCCTCCCACCTCAGTCTTCAGAGTAGCTGACACTATAGGTATGCACCACCATGCCTGGCTAATTTTTTTTTTTTGCATTTTTAGTAGAAACAGGAGTTCATCATGTCACCCAGGCTGGTCTCAAACTCCTGAATTCAAGTAATCCTCCCACTTCAGCCTCCCAAAGTGCTAGGATTACAGTGTAAGCCACCTCACCCAGCCTATACTAATACTTTTAATTCACTGACGTCATTTCTGATAAACAGTCTAAAAGAGATCACATATGGAAAGCACTTTATTCTGAATGATCTATAGTATAAGGTGACAAATTCAGAAAATATATTTAATTGTAGAAGAATGAGAAAGTATATACATGTACATATATAATGTATATATGAATTATTAATTTAAAAAAGAATGTTACATAGCTTCAAAAACTGCATATCAAGAAAATTTTATAAATTAGAAAATGATTGTTTTACATATGTCAGTTTACAATTTATAAAAATACATGATATGGCCGGGAGGTGGCTCACACTACAGGTGAGGTCCCAGCACTTTGGGAGGCCAAGGCAGGCAGATCATCTGAGGTCGGGAGTTCGAGACCAGCCTGACCAAGATGGAGAAACCCCGTCTCTACTAAAAATACAAAATTAGCCAGGCATGGTGGTGGGTGCCTGTAATCCCAGCTACTCAGGAGGCTGAGGCAGGAGAATTGCTTTAACCCAGGAGGCGGAGGTTGCAGTGAGCCGAGATCGTGCCATTACACTCCAGCGTGTGCGAAAAGAGCAAGACTCCATCTCAAAACAAAAAAATGATACACAAAAGAAAAGTAAGGGGAAACAAATACATTAAAATACGAGCATGTGGCCAGGTGCCATGGCTCACACCTGTAATCCCAGCACTTTGAGAGGCCAAGGCAGGTGGATGGCCTGAACCCAGGAGCTGGAGACCAGCCTGGGCAATGTATTAAAACACCATCTCTACAAAAGATACAAAAATTAGCTGGGCTTGGTGGCGTGCACCTGTGGTACCAGCTACTCAGGCAGCTGAGGCGGGAGGATGACCTCAGCCTGGGAAGTCGAGGCTGCAGTGACCTGTGATCGCACCACTGCACTCCAGCCTGGGCCATGGGAGTGAGATCCTGTCTTAAAAACAAAACAAAACAAAACAAAACAAACAAACAATATATATCCAGGCTATATCCAGGCTGATACTAGATATTTAATTTAATTATAATTTTCTTTATTTCACTGAAAATCTTTGGTGAGCACTTATTAAGTTATACATTGCATAAATCTTCTTATTTTCAAAAACTATTCCAGTTGCAATCTCATTATTTCTACTTGTTCTGCTCCAGTGAATTAATGCTAACCTTAAACTTCAGTGTGTTAATTTATGTTAAATGACATCATATGATATAAATAATATTTTAACCACAGATCTTTGGGAGATTTAGTCCAAGCATATTCATCACAAAAAAATCAGTAAACAATAGAAATACCATTTTCCTATATACACCATCAAAAGACTCCCTATTTGACCCTGAGACCAAGTCCTACAAAACAGAATCCAAACTCCTAAGTATGGTTTGCAAAATTCCACCCAACTCCACTGCCTAGTCCCTGCCTAACCATGAACATTCTCACAATATGCTGCTAAGTGAAAAAGCAGGCTATAAAGCAATATGTACATCTTATGCTAAATGAATAAGCCAGACCTAAAAGGGCAAAAATTGTATGTTTCCAATAATATGAAATATCTGGAACATGCAAATTCATACAGACATAAGGTAGGTTGAAAGTTACTAGGGGATGGGGGAGGGGAATGGAGAGTTATCACTAAGGGTTAGAGTTTCTGTTTGGGATGACGAAAAAGTTTAGAAAATAGTGGCAAGATTTACACAATAGTATGAATATAATTAACACCATTAAATTGTACACTTAAAAATAGTTAAAATGGCAAATTTTATGTTATATATTACCACAATGTTATAAATTAGTAATGAAATATACCAAAAATCATTGACTTGTACACTTTAAATGGGTGAACTGTATTGTAAATAAATTATATCTCAATACAGCTATAAAATTTAAAAATGAAAAATAAAGAAATTTGTGGCTGTATGTTTATTTAGCCTTATGCTCTTCAAATTAATACATTCCAAACCTATTTTTCATAGTTCATGTTTTATAACTCTAATCTTCACCCTAGTTTTAGAATTTGTGAACTACCTATGTGTCAGTATTATGCCACCAGTGCAATTGGGAATAGAGTTAACTTATTGCCTCTGGGGACACAATGACCAATTAAACTTGAGGGACTCAGAATCCCTAAGGTTAAAATAAAGGACACAACATTGTGAGAATAGTAGGACTTTAATAAATACTGGCTGGTTTTATTAAAAGCCACAACCTTCTCTCTGTGACAGTGCAAATGTTACTAATGTCTATAAAATCAGCTTCTCATTGTGGAAATCCATTAGGAACCTGGCAAGGACAGCCCATGTCAGTCAAAAATATCCCGGTGACTGAAGACATTATCTGTAACACACTTTTACCTCATCTTAAGATTTTTACTTATATGTTCTTAAGGCAGTGCAAGATACATGATAATTTTATTCTCAATCTGTGGGCAAAAGGTAGTTGAGTCAGAATGGCAAAAGAGTTGAAAGCTCAAAACATCATTGCATGTATCAGTCTTTGCACCAGACTTCCTTGAAACACAACACAAAGAAAGGCATGGATATCTCTAGGACACTTAGAATAAAGGCGAGTGGTGTCTACCACAGAGAATTATGTTACCATGATTGGGAAGGGTCTTTCAAGATCATCTAACCTACATCATTACCTCTGGGTTGCATCATGTTAAGTAATCAGAATGTCCAATTTGTTTCCAGGGAACCTTGAAATAAATATCAAGTATTTTTAGTGATTCCAAAAATCCTTCTTATCCTTTGAAACTTTTGAATGAAAATTTGCTTATTATATCTCCACACATAAAAAAGTCAGTGGGAATTTTTTAATTGAAAAAGAATCAGTGGTATTTGAGGTTTCTTTTGATATATGCAGGATGCATAAATAAGAAAAGGTTTAAGATAACAGTGGAATCACCATTCTCTTGTCAAGGGATAAGTTTATTTACTGATAATGCAAAAAAAAAAAAAAAAAAAGAATTGATAAATGAACTGGCACCAGTGCCATATAAAAGGTGAAGAGGAGTAGAGGCTGTGAAAATAATAGAATAAGAAGGAAGAGCTGCTGAGTCAATTACTGTTATCAGCTATGCCCTTCAGATAACCAAATATCTCCTACTATTGACTTGACTTTCACTTATGAGGAAACTATGTTCTCTGCACTATGCTAGAAACAAAGAAGTGACATATACATTTAATCATTTCATATCATAATATTATAAAATTACAATAAGCACTGGGATTACCAATAATAAATTATATCTCTGCTTTTTCATACACATGACAAGCTGAAATAATGACTCAATATTATGAGTAATGATTATTACTAATGATTAATGCTAATCATACTATTAATGATAACTGGCTTACATTCATTAGATCCTTCCTATGTTTCAGGCACTGTCCAAAATCTAGATGTGTATGCACTGGCTCATTGAAGTCTCACAATAATTCCCTTTTTTATAAAACAGGTTTTAAAAACAGCATGGTACTGGTACCAAAACAAATATATAGACCAATGGAACAGAACAGAGGCCTCAGAAATAACACCACACATCTACAACCATCTGATCTTCCATGAACCTGAAAAAAACAAGCAATGTGGAAAAGATTCCCTATTTAATAAATGGTGTTGGGAAAACTGGCTAGCCACATGCAGAAAACAGAAACTGGACCACTTCCTTACACTTTATACAAAAATTAACTCAAGATGGATTAAAGACTTAAACATAAAACCTAAAACCATAAAAGATTTAGAAGAAAACCTAGGCAATACCATTCAGGACATAGGCATGGACAAAGACTTCATGACTAAAACACCAAAAGCAATAGCAACAAAAGCCAAAATAGACAAATGGGATCTAATTAAACTAAAGAGCTTCTGCACAGCAAAAGAAACTATCATCAGAGTGAACAGGCAACCTACAGAATGGGAGAAAATTTTTGCAATCCATCCGACAAAGGGCTAATATCCAGAGTCTACAAAGAACTTAAACAAATTTACAAGAAAAAAACAACCCCATCAAAAAGTGGGCAAATGATATGAACAGACACTTCTCAAAAGAAGACATTTATGTAGCCAACAAACATGAAAAAAGCTCATCATCACTCATCATTAGAGAAACGCAAATCAAAACCACAATGAGATTCCATCATACGCCAGTTAGAATGGTGACCATTAAAAAGTCAGGAAACAACAGATGCTGGAGAGGATGTGGAGAAATAGGAATGCTTTTACATTGTTGGTGGGAGTGTAATTAATTCAACCATTGTGGAAGACAGGGTGGCAATTCCACAAGGATCTAGAACCAGATCCAGAAATATCATTTGACCCAGCAATCCCATTACTGGGTTTATACCCAAAGGATTATAAATCATTCTACTATAAACATGCATGTACATGTATGTTTACTGTGGCATTCCACAATGGTTGAATTAATTTACACTCCCACAAGGATCTAGAACCAGAAATATCAGCAAGCATGCCTGGCTGTGTGCAGTATCCAGGCTGGTAATGTAAGCTGAGCACAGGCTGCCAGGCTGAGTGGGCCAGTGGGCCTGAGCAAAACCCCAGCATAAGTGCCACTAGCCACAGAGGTTTTCAGCTGGTGAAGTGATAACCCAAGGATCCCGTAACATAACCATTAGAAAACATTGGACAAACCATGATTGAAGTGCATTCTGTAAGATACCTGAGCAGTACTCAGAATTATCAACATCATGAAAAACAAGATAACAGAGATTCAGGAAACTGAAACACATGACAACTAAAGGCAATGGAGTGTCCTGGATGGGATTCTGCAACAAAAAAAGGATGTTAAAGAAAATCTTGCTGAAATCCAAAGATAGTCTAGAGTTTTGGTAGTAGTAACATACCAATGTTAGTTTCTGAATTTTGAAAAATGTACCAGAGAAATGTAACATTAAGTGAAAGTGAAACTGGTTGAGGTGTATATGGGAATTCTTTGCCATCTTTGCAACTTTTCTGTAAAGCTAAAATTATGACAAAATAAAGCATGTATAAAAAATGTGTTACACAGATGGGAAGGGACAAGATGTCCAATTAGTTGCAGCCAGGAAGCACTGCTTTCACCGAGAGAGACCAAATTATTGAGTTAATCAACATAAATTGGTTGATTTAATCATCTCAGCCCAAAATCTCCTTAAGCTGATAAGCAAATTCAGCAAAGTCTCAGGATACAAAGTCAATGTGTGATCTTAGGAGAGAAAACACTGAGTGTATGGAGAAGCAAAGCTGAAGCTGAGGCTGTAGAGTCAGAAATCTGGAAACCCTGAAGTGGTACCTGAATGCCAGGGCTAGTTCCCAGCCCCAGATGGCTCCTGGGAAATTGGTGAGCCAGGGAACTGAGGGACAGCTCACTCTTGTCATGTACCTCTGGGATCCTAGCTATGAGAGACCCCATATCCCCCATAAATGTGTTAGCTGGCAGGGGTATCTCCCTGGGGAACAGGCAGAGACAGTACTTCAGACAGTGCAGAGCCTGGGAGCTTTTGTGTGCTGGGCAGCTTTGGTGGAGGGTAGCCATAGACACACATCCCTGAGAGCTTCCCATCTCCCTCTGCAAGGCTCTTGACTCAGCTGACTGTCAAGCCAAAGGAGAGCAGGGCTGGCTTCCCTATGGGACTAAGACACATCTGTTCTGCAAGCCCTCCTGCCTGCAGGCTCCTCTCAGGTCCTATGCCTAGCTGCCCTGGAGAAGCAGGTGCATTGTGCAGCTTGCACAGCCCAGCTGAATGCCTTGCTTCACCTGAGTACTTTCCCAGCAACCCAGAAGCATATCAGATCCCACAGTGCAGCCAGAGCCCAACCCTGAGCTGCAGGATGTCCTGGTGCTACCTGGGTTTCTAAGCACAGCTTGGGATTATCAAGCCAAGATATGTGACCCACACTAAGTTAGGTGAGTTAGCTTAATAAAAAAAAAAAAAAAGAAAGAAAAGAAAAAAATTCCATCCAATATCCCTGATGAACATAGAAGGAAAAATCCTTGAGAAAATACTAATCAAACAAATCCAGCAGCACATCAAAAAGTTAATACACCACAATCAAGAAGGCTCTATTTCTGGCATGCAAGATTGGTTGAACATCTGCAAATCTACAAATGTGATTCACCACATAAACAGAATTAAAAGGAAAAGCCATATGATCATCTCAATAGATGCTGAAAAAGCTTTTGGTAAAATCCAATATCTCCCAACATACTGCAGTATGTTTACTGTGGCAGGTGTGTATGAGGGAGCAAGTGTGGGGTCCAGCTACTGCACACAGCCAGGCATGCTTGCTGCAGCAGGGCAGGCAGTTCCAGGCACTGACAGGGGTGCCATCTCCCTGCAAGTCTGCGGCTGGACCAGGTGTACTGCAAGCAGCTTCCGCACCAGGAACCACAGAACCACCCAAAAGGGTGTCACAGCCCTGGCTCAGGGAGCTCCTAGGTCTGGGCTCCCCAAAGAGTTGCATCTCTTATCTCCTTTATGTCAACCACAATGAGGTGAGGAAAGGGCATGTTTCAGCCCTGTTTGTGTGACAGCTCTTTCAGCCATGCCATTCAGTGGGTCCCAAGTTCTTGTCCCACACTCACGAGGTATGTGGATAAGTGGAGGGTGAGTAAGGTGAAGAGGAGCTTTATTGAACAATAGAACAGCTGAGAGGAAACCCGCTCCTCTCCATAGCCAGGGTGTCCTAACGAGTGTTCAGCTCTCCGCAGAGAGGAGACCCTGGAGTGGGTAGCTCCTCTCCTCAGACAGGTCATCCCACAGAGTGTTCAGGTCTCAGCAGAAAAGAGACCCTAGGGTAGGTAATTCCTCTCTGCAGCTGGTTGTCCTGACATCTTTTTGTGTCTGGCTGAGTCTGGGAATTTTTATGGACTTCAGAGGAAAGGAAGTGCTTGCTGATTGGTCCTTGGGCAGCCACGGGCAGGCTTGGAAAAAGCATCGTAAGTCCCCACTCCAGTCTGCGAGGCTGGCAGCCCGTCTCCCAGGCTTCAATCCTTCCCTGAGTTGAAGGTGGGGCCTCACCGGGGACCCGTCCCTTTCTGCCCAGGAGCCTGTGGGCCTCCTGCCACTGTTGACGGTGCCCAGGCTGTTCCTGCCAAGAGGCACCTGCAGGCCAGCGCCAAGCTGCCCTCAGCAGCACCCCCTCCAGCCTCCCTCCCTTGCTTACTGGTGCCCAAAGCCCAGAGGGGGCTGAGGTGGCAGAAGACTGGCATGTCAGTGCTGCCCCAAGTGTGGGCACACCAGGCCAGGTTGCAATAGCACCTGGGCCTGGCCTCAACCACGCTCCGAGATCAGAGCACGCACCAGGAGCAGGGAGAGATCAGACACCAGGAGCAGGCACCTCCAAGCCTGCGGGGGCAAAAAGGGCTTTCCCAGGCCCCCAAGAGTGCAGAGATGCCCGGGTCTGCCGCTGCAGCTTGGGCATCTGCAGCTGCGCCCAGGAGGGCAGGGCTCTTACTCCTGGCACCCAAGAACACAGGGATGCCCAGGTTTGTAGACACAGCTTGAGCAGCTGCAGCTGCACCAGGGAGGGTGGGGCTTCTGCCTGCTCCTGAACCCCAAGCGCACAGGGATGTCCTGTCCACAGCCGCTGCTGGGCAACTGCAGCTGAGCCTGGGGAGCACAAGGCTCTTGCCCTGTCAACTCATAAGGGGTTGGGGCTTCCGCCTGTTCCCGGCTCCAGGGGCTCCACGGAGCGCACAGCCACACCTGCATCTCCCCTACTACAGCCGGCATCACAGTCCAGATGGGTTTCAGCTGCCATCAATTACACTGGGCCTTTGAATTTTTGCAGAGGAGACCACAGAGGTAAAGTGCCCTTTTTATCCCATCAGAGCAGGGGTTACATAATATCTACATGGCATCACTGATGGTGCTGACTTTAATCACTTGGTTAAGGTAGTGTTTTCACTAAATAAAACTGAAACTTACAATTGTTACCTGTCCATACTCTATTCCTTGGAAGACAGTCACTGAGTCCAGCCTACACTTAACAAAGGAGATCATGAGCTCCACATCTGAAAGTGGGGACTATTAATAGACTAGTAAGGAAGATTTCTCCCTTCTTCTCATTTATGTATTTATTCAATCATTTATTTATAAGAGTATGGACTCATACGTTTTATACTTCAGGTTATAATCCAGTGATATGTTATTTATTTTGTTGTTGAAATTGCTCCAGCTTTACCCATTGAGAGCTCTTTCAAGTTAGCTGCTGGGTCCCTTGGACAGGTCTTCATCCTTTTGTTATCCTTTTCTCTTCAGGGCCCCTCCCTGATTTCTGGTATTACTGGTTCTTCTCCAGGCTTCTCTTATATATTTCTTCACCAGGCTTAGAAATATCTTATAATCAGACATTTCTCCAACGATCTCTGTTTCTTTTCACTGGAAAATGGCATTAGAAAACATTATCTGAGTGTGACATGTGCACATTGCTATGAGGGTAACATTGTTTCTAGGCTATTTCAGCAGAAAGGGCTAGGTAATGTGTGTCTACACAGTAAGCCCTGAATACACACATATCTGTCGTTGTTTCCTTATTTGTCCATCTGTGTGTGTCCATGTGCATTTGGGCTTGTGTTTAAACATGAGGTCATAGTGATAACTCTGACTCTAACACAGTCCCTAATGGTCATTCTGGCCTTCCTTTCTTGCTTCTCTGTAACTTCTCTTACCAACAGGGAGAAACCTGGATGCCACTGTTCATATTTTAATATTTTTGTTCAACTGGTATGCATGTGAAGCAATTACAGAATTAGCTGAACCCGCATGAGAAACAAATTTACTATTCAGAATACCATATTTATGCAAAGTTACTTTTGTCTACAGTCTGACATTTTTTAATCAAAACATTATTTCTCAAGGTAAGTTAGGCCACTTTTTACTTCTTCTCTACCCTTTTCAGTGTTGTTAGCTTACATATTTATATAAAGTGAGGTTGATTTGCCACTGTCATACCATTCTAGGATCTTCCCACATCTTGGTGATATTTTTGCTTGTTTATTTGCATGCATTTGAGTGCAATTTTGTGATACACTACTTAGGGATTAATAAATCATGGACTTGTGTATTACTAGTGCAGCACCATACAAAACAACTCCATCATTTAAAAATTCCCCTGTGTGTCTTCTTTGTAATAAACTAATCTCCCTTACACTAAGCCCTGGATACCACTGATGTGTTTCCATCCCAGTGGGTTTTTTTTCCCCAGATGTCTTATGAATGAAATCATACAATATTCAGACTTTGAAGTCTGGCTTCATTCATTTAGTAAAATACCCTTAACATATATTCATGTTGTTGCATGTATCAGTAGCTCATTCCATCCCATTGATCAATAGTATTCATTGATCAATCAACTTCCACAAAATCATAGATCATTGTGTGGAAATACCCAAGATTATCTTTCCCCTGTTGAAGGGCATGGGTTGCTTACAGTTTGGAGTAATTATGAATGAAACTGATATAAACATTTGCATGCAGATTTTTACACGGACCTAAGTTTTAATTCACTAGGGTAAATACTTAGGAATGTGATTGTTAAGTCATATGGCAAGACTATATTAAACTTTATAAAAATTGCCAAATAGTCAAAGTGGTTGCACCACTTTGCATTTCTACCAGCAATCAAAGAGAGTTTCCCTCACTTTGCATTCTTGCTAGTATTTATTATTTTCAGTGCTTTTGTTTCAGCAACAAAAAAAAATTGTGAGAATTTATTTTTAATTTTGTTATATAAGTACTTTCATAATACTCCAGTTTTGTGTCTTGGTTTACAAAGCCTTAATATTGACTACGTAGCTTTTTATAGGAAAAAATACTGGTATCTGGACTTTCATATAGATTTTCTTAAATCAGTGAGATTTCCATCAGTCAACTTAACTGTAAATCAACTATTACAAGGTTTTTTAAATGTGGGAAATCATGTCTTTGATAAGAACAGGTCAGTTTTTTCATTTTTTTCTCTAAGAATTTTTGTTTTGTGTGTGTGTGTATCTATCACTTAATGTGCATTTGAAAACTTTCTAATTAACTTTTTCTAATACAAATAATCTATGAAACTTTATTCCATTTTCTCAATACAGTTTAGAAATTACTTGAACATTTGGTTAAATGTTCTGAACCTTACTTTCAAATTACATTTTCTTACTAGACAAATGCTTAGACAGTGTGGCGATTCCTCAAGGATCTAGAACTAGAAATACCATTTGACCCAGCGATCCCATTACTGGGTATATACTCAAAGGATTATAAATCATTATACTATAAAGACACATGAACACGTATGTTTATTGTGGCACTCACAATAGCAAAGACTTGGAACCAACCCAAATGTCCATCAATAATACACTGGATAAAGAAAATGTGGCACATATACACAGTGGAATGCTATGCAGCCATAGAAAAGGATGAGTTCATGCCCTTTGCAGGGACATGGATGAAACTGGAAACCATCATTCTCAGCAAACTATCACAAGGACAGAAAACCAAACACTGCATGTTCTCATTTATAAGTGGGAGTTGAACAATGAGAACACTTGGACACAGGGTGGGGAACATCACACACCAGGGCCTGTCGGGGGGTGGGGGGCACTGGGGGAGGGATAGCATTAGGAGAAATACCTAATGTAAATGACGAGTTGATGGGTGCAGCAAATCAACATGGCACATGTATACCTATGTAACAAACCTGCACATTGTGCACATGTACCCCAGAACTTAAAGTATAATTTTAAAAAATGCTTAATTCATGCCGAATATGTTCAGTGTGATTTTTAAAGGCTTCAAGATTCAATGTTATTCATACAACCTAATTTCTATTTTATTTCTCTCTCCATGAAGAGTCTTGTAAGAGGCCAGGCACGGTGGCTCACACCTGTAATCCCAGCACTTTGGGAGGCCAAAGTGGGAGGGTCACTTGAGGTCAGGAGTTTGAGACCAGACTGGGCAACAGGGTGAAACACTGTCTCTACTAAAGATACAAGAATTAGCCAGAATTGGTGGTGCATGCTTGTAATCCCAGCTACTCGGGACGCTGAGGTAGGAGAATCACTTGAAACCGGGAGATGGAGGTTGCAATGAGCTGAGATTGCACCACTGCACTCCAGCCTGGGCGACAGAGCAAGACTCCATCACAAAAAAGAAAAAAAAAAGTATTTTAAGAAGCATAAACAAATCAATCACCTTTGACTGAACATTGATTGGTACTTGTTCTGATTTGATCCAATTCTAAGTCCCAGCATCCATTTTATCTTCTCCAAGTATAGTAGGGAATATTCATCAACTGTTTACTCAGTTATTTGATTTGATTTCTTATCACTTAACACTTAATCCAAGGATATAAATATCCTTTTGCCCAGTGGTAAACTTGTCATCCAATCCTTGAGTTTCTTTTGCAAACACGTTAGGTTTTTCTCAAGATTGAAATGCTCATCCAAACCCAATTTTTTTTTTTTTTTTTGCTGTCTTAAGTTGTTTTTTTTCCTCTTCTGACATAGTTTTAAGGCTATTTTGGCATTAGCTTCTCACTATTTAAAAGACTTCAACACATCTTCCAGTAACGGAACCCATATTCTAAACCTAGCCATGAATGTAATTCATTCTGAACTTTAAGGTGTTCTTTTTTTTTTAAAGATGACATATAAATGGCCAATAATCATATGAACAAATGCTAATCATAAGAGAACTGCAAATTAAAACCACAGTGAGATATTATGTTATGCCAGTCAAAATGGCCATTATTAAATTCAGAAAAAAAAAATTTTGCCGAGGGTATAGAGAAAAGGATTACATACACTATTGGTGGGAATGTAAATTAGTACAACCTCTGTGGAAAACAGTATGGAGACTTTTCAAAGAACTAAAAATAGAGCTACCATTCGATCCAGCAATCCCATTACTGGATATCAAGCTAAAGGTAAAGAAATCATTATATCAAAAAGAAACCTATGTGTCTATGTATATCGCAGCACTATCCACAATAGCAAAGTAATAAAATCAGCCTGAGTGTCCATCAGTGGACTATTGGATTTCTAAAATGTGGTATACATATATACACACTTTAGAATACTACTTGGCCATAAAAAGACTGAAATCATGTCTTTTGCAGCAACGTGACTGTAACTGGAGGCCATTGGCTTAAGAGAACTCAGAAACAAAAAGCCAAATGCTACATATTATCAATTATAAGTGGGAGCTAAACAATGGGTACATGTGGATATAGAGTGAAATATAGGCATTGGAGACTCCAAAAGGTGGGAGGCTGGGAAAGGGTTGAGGGATGAAAGACTACCTACTGAGGACAATGTATTTTATTTGGATGATGGATACATTGAAAAATCAGACTTCACCACTATGCAATATATCCATGGAACACAACTGCACTTCTACATTGTAAATCTGTAAAAATTCGCATTTTTCAAAAACATTCCTTTTTTTCAAAGCATCTATTTTGAACTCAAATTTCCTATACACTTAGAGGATTTAATGCCTTGTTCTAAGGGCAGGACTCCATGAAAAATAATTTATACTCTTCATACTCGTTTTTTTTTTAAGAGACAAAGTTTCACTCCCATTGCCCAGGCTGTAGTACAATGGCGTGATCTCGGCTCACTGCAACCTCTGCCTCCCAGGTTCAAGGATTATCCTGCCTCAGCCTCCCAAGTAGCTGGGATTACAGGACCTGCCACCATGCCTGGCTAATTTTTTGTATTTTTAGTAGAGACGGAATTTCACCATGTTGGCCGGGCTGGTCTCAAACTCCTGACCTCAGGTGATCCACCCGCCTCAGCCTCCCAAAGCGCTGGGATTACAGGCATGAGCCACCACACCAAGCTCATATTCTTTTTTAATCAGCCTAATTTATTAAAACATTACATTTGTCTTCAACTACAGAAGAAACTTCTCTGGTAAACTCTTTTTTTTCTCTCTACATAAAGTGGGCTTTTATAATTACAAAATCCAAATAGAGCCGCACTTACCACCATCCCCCATGTTAAGCCATAGAACTCTGATGTGAGTCTCATGTCTCCTTGCAACATTGACGTGGCCTCAATCAGCTTCTCCAGGACCTCTATAAAGTAACACCTCATAGCAGTAAGCAGGTCCTCCATAGCACCAGATCTGCCTTTGGTTGCCAAGACACTATGATTCTACAACAAACTGCAGAGAACACTAGCAGTGTTCTGCTTGGAACCTAAATCTGCACCTAGCAACCAGGACAGCACATCAGTGGGATGCCAATGTGGGAGGATAGATGGGGCTTTCTAAACATTTTCACTATTAGCACATGAAAAATGGGAAACTACAAGGCTCTTGTTGATCCAAGGAGACTGGCCACAGAGACTGTATTCCTTCTAGGCACTAACAAGCAACCCTAAAGTATGAGAGAATTAATGTCATTTCATACATGTGCAATTCAGGAATTACTAGGAACGTGGCAGTAAAGAACTTACATGCCCATATCAATAGTCAAAGTCCTCTTAATGTAAACGTGTCTTTCTGAGGCTCTGCTAGACCTAATACTATTTAAAAATTCAAAGGTTCCTCACCTCAGCATCCCATCTTGTTTTGTTTTGGGTTAGATGAGGGGGATAAGCATGAGAGAGTTGAATTATTGTCATTAAGTTATCGATTTAACTTTCAAATGTAAAAACTCATAAAGGTTTAAGGTAATTTGGGGTTTAGGTTTTTTTAACTTTTATTTTAGGTTCATGGGTATATGTGCAGGTTTGTTATACAGGTAAACTGCGCATCACAGGGGTTTGGAGTACAGATAATTTCATCATCCAGGTAATAAGCATAGTACTCAATAGGTATTTTTTCTGATCTTCTTCCTCCTCCCACCCTCCACCGTCAAGTAGACCCCAGTGCATGTGGTTCACCTTCTAGTATCCATGTGTTCTTATGTTTAGCTCCCACTTATAAGTGAGAACATGTGGTATTTGGCTCTTTTCCATTTAGTTTGCTTAGGATGATGGCCTGCAGCTCCATCCATGGTGCTGCAAAGGAAATGACCTCATTCTTTTTATGACTGCATAGTATTCCATGGGGTCTATGTACCACATTTTCTTTACCCAATCTACTGTTGATGGGCATTTAGGTTGATTTCATGTATTTGCTGTTGTGAACAGTGCTGCAATGAACATACTCGTGCATATGTCTTTATGGTAGAATGATTTATATTCCTTTGGGTATATACCCGCTAATGGGATTGCTTGGTGGAAGAGTAGTTCTGTTTTAAGTTCTTGGAGGAATCATTACACCATTTTCCACAATAGCTAAGGTAATTTACATTCCCACCAGCAGTGTATAAGCATTCCCTTTTCTCCATAACCTTGATGTATCTGTTATTAATAATTTGACTTTTTGATAATAGCCATTCCACCTGGTACGAGATGGTATCTCATTGCGGTTTTGATTTGCATTTCTCTAATGATTAATGATATTGAGCATTTTTTCATATGCTTGGCCGCATGTGTACCTTCTTTTGGAAAGTGTCTGTTCATGTCTTTTGCTGACTTTTAAACGGCATTGTTTCTTTCTTATAAATTTGTTTAAGTTCTTTCTAGATGCCAGATATTAGACCTTTGTCAAATGCATTGTATGCAGATATTTTCTCTCATTTTGTAGGTTGTCTGTTTCCACTGTTGATAGTTTCTCTTACTGTGAGACGTTCTTTAGTTTAATTAGGCTTCATTTGTCAATTTTTGTTTTTGTTGCAATTGCTTTTGGCATCTTCATGATGAAATGTTTCCCAAGTCCTATGTCCAGAATGGTATTTCCTAGGTTATCTTCCAGAGTTTTTATATTAATAGTTTTCATTTTAACATTTAAGTGTTTAATCCATCTTGAGTTGATTTTTGTATGTGGTGCAAAGTTGGCATCCAGTTTCAATCTTCTGCATAGAGCTAGTCACTTATCCCAGCACCCTTTATAAAATGGGGAGTCCTTTCCCCATTGCTTGTTTTGGTCAGCTTTGTTGAAGATCATATTTTTTTGTAGGTGTGTTGCACTATTTCTGGGTTCTCTATTTATTCTATTGGTCTATATATCTGTTTTTTTTTTTTTTTTTCCAGTACCGTGCTGTTTTGGATACTGTAGCCCTCTAGTATAAGTTGGGTAAGGTGATGCCTCTAGCTTTTTCCTTTTTTCTTAGGATTGCCTTGGCTATTAGGGCTCTTTTTCGGTTCCATACAAATTTTAAAATAGTTTTTTTCTAATGCTGTGAACAATGTCATCGGTAGTTTGATAGGAATTGCACTGAATCTATAAATTGCTTTGGACCAGTGTGGCCATTTTAATGATACTGAATCTTAGTATCCATGAGCATGGGATGTTTTTCCATTTGTTTGTGGCACCTCTGATTTCTTTCAGCAGTTTTTTGTAATTCTCATTGTAGAGATGTTTTACGTTCTTGGTTAGCAGAATTTCTAGGTATTTTATTCTTCTTGTGGCAGTTGTGAATGGGATGGCATTCCTGATTTAGCCCTCAGATTGAATGTTGTTGATGTATGGGAATGCTAAATTTTTGTACATTGCTTTTGTATCCTGAAACTTTTCTGAAGTTGTTTATCAGATCAAGGAGCTTTTGGACCAAGACTATGGGGTTTTCTCATACGGATTCATGTCTTTTGCAACCAGGAATAGTATAACTTCCTCTCTTCTTACTTGGATGCCTTTCATTTCTTTCTCTTGCCTGATTGCTCTGGCCAGGACTTCCAGTACTATGTTGAATAGGTGTGGTGAGAGAGGGCATCCATGTCTTATGCCGGTTTTCAAGGGGAATGCTTCCAGCTTTTTCCATTCAGTATGATGTTGGCTGTGGGTTTTTTATAGATTGCTTTTATTATTTTGAAGTATATTCCTTCAATGCCTAGTTTATTGAGGGTTTTTAACATGAAGGGATGTTGAATTTTATTGAAAGCCTTCTCTGCATGTATTGAGATAATTATGTGGTTTTTGTTTTCATTTCTGTTTATGTGATGAATCACATGTATTGATTTGCATATGTTGAACCAACCTTTCCTCTCAGGGATAAAGCCTACTTGATCATGGTAGGCTTTATCCCTGGGACGCAAGGGGTCATGGTAGGCTTTTTCTCTGCGATGCAAATGCTCACACCCTAATCTGTGGAGCCTGTGATTATATGTTACTTTACATGGCAAAAGGACTTTTATAGATGTGATTAAATTCAGAATCTTGAGATGGGGATATTATCCTGGATTAGGCAGGTAGGCTAATATAATCACCTGTGTCCATATAAGAGGGAGGCTGGAGGTCAGAGAAAAGATACTCTGCTGCTGACTTTAAAGATAGAAGAATGGGCCATGAGCCAAGGAATATAGGTCACCTCTAGAAGATAGAAAACGTGAGGAAACAGCTATTTCATCAAAAAGCTAAGAAATTGGGTTTTTATATGCTGTTGGATTTGGTTTGCTAGTATTTTGTTGAGGAGAATCAAGGTAATTTGAAAGATCTTCAAATTTCAAGGATTTACACTCCTGCCAAATGACTCCCCAAACCCATAGCCAGTCACTGTTCTTCACCATTGCCCCACTCTCAAGCACAATACAAAAACTTTCCATTTCCTGAGAGGGTAAAGAAATGTGGTGTTATAACAAAATAAATATTTGCCAACAATATTACCATCTCTTGGTGTTATCTACTCCATGCATTTCTAGTGAATTGTTCATTAGGAAACCCCATTGCTTTATTCAAAGTTTTTGTCATTTGACCTAAGATAAACAAAGTTATCTGTTCCTCCCAAAGAAAAGTGTCAGATATGTCAAGTTCATCTGAGTTTGCCAACAGTAAGAAAATATTTTAAGAAGTATGGAGACATATAAAAAAGACATATAAGCCACCCAGAAGGGATCCTCTCTAGCCAAAACACTGACCATTTCAGCATCAAAATAATGATAGAATGAAATAAGAATGCATAAGACCATATTAAGATATATGGATAGACACATAGATAAATAATACCTGATACACACACGTACACACACACACACACAGGAACAAAGGAAAGCTATTCCTTCATATAGAATGCCAACTCTATTAGTTTCCCATTGTTGCTAAAACAAATTACTACAAATTTGGTGTTTAAAATAACAAAAATATCTTATATATCTGGAGAAAGAAAGACTAAATTGGATCTACAGGGCTGCACATCTTCCGCAGGCTCTAGGACAGAACATGTTTCCTCAACTACTCCAGCTTCTAGAAGCAACCTGTATTCCGTGGCTCATGGCCCATTCCTCTATCTTTAAAGTCAGCAGCAGAATATCTTCTCTCTGACTAAGAATGTGGCAGGAAAGAACTTACATGCCCTCTCTCTTATATGGATATGTGTGATTATGTCAGCCCTCCTGGCTAATACAGGATAATAATCCCAACTCAAGGTTGAGAATTTAATCACATCTATAAAAACCCTTTTGCAGGCTGAAAATTCCAAAATCCAGAACGCCTCTTCTCCTCCAAAGGATCACAACTCCTCACGAGCAAGGGAACAAAACTGGATGGGGAATGAGTTTGACGAATTGACACAAGTAGGCTTCAGAAGGTGGGTAATAACAAACTCCTCCAAGCTAAAGGAGCATGTTTTAACCCAATGCAAGGAAGCTAAGAACCTTGAAGAAAAGATAGAAGACTTCCTAACTAAATTAATCAGTTTAGAGAAGAACATAAATGACCTGATGGAGCTGAAAAACAGCACGAGAACTTTGTGAAGCATACAAAGGTATCAATAGCCGAATTGATTAAGCAGAAGAAAGGATATCAGAGATTGAAATTCAACTTAATGAAATAAAGCGTGAAGACAAAATTAGAGAAAAAAGAATGAAAATGAATGAACAAAGCCTCCAAGAAATATGGGACTATGTGAAAAGACCAAACCTACGTTTGATTGGTGTACCTGAAAGTGATGGGGAGAATGGAACCAAGCTTGAAAACACTCTTCAGGATATAATCCAGGAGAATTTCCCCAACCTAGCAAGACAGGTCAACATTCAAATTCAGGAAATGCAGAGAAAAATACTAAGATATTCCTCAAGAACAGCAACCCCAAGACACATAATCATAATATTCACCAAGGTTGAAATGAAAGAAAAAAAATGTTAAGGGCAGCCAGAGAGAAAGGTCGCGTTACCCACAAAGGGAAGCCCATCAGACTAACAGCAGGTCTCTCAGCAAAAACCCTACAAGCGAGGGGAGAGTGAGAACGAATATTCAAAATTCTTAAAGAAAAGAATTTTCAGCCCAGAATTTCATATCCAGCCAAACTAAGCTTCATAAGTGAAGGAGAAACAAAATCCTTTACAGACAAGCAAATGCTGAGAGATTTCGTCACCACCAGTCCTGCCTTACGGGAGTTCCTGAAGGAAGTACTAAATATGGAAAAGAAAAATCAGTACCAGCCACTGCAAAAACATACCAAAGAATCAATATCATGAAAATGGCCATACTGCCCAAAGTAATTTATAGATTCAGTGCTATCCCAATCAAGCTACCACTGACTTTCTTCACAGAATTAGAAAAAAACTACTTTAAATATCACATGGAACCAAAACAGAGCCCGTATAACCAAGACAATCCTAAGCAAGAAGGAGAAAGTTGGAGGCATCATGCTACCTGACTTTAAACTATACTACAAGAATACAGTAACCAAAACAGCATGGTATGTGTACCAAAACGGATATATAGACCAATGGAACAGGACAGAGGCCTCTGAAATAATGCCACACGTCTACAACCACCTGATCTTTGACAAACCAGACAAAAACAAGCAATGGGGAAAGGATTCCTTATTTAATAAATGGTGTTAGGAAAACTGGCTAGCCATATGCAGAAAACTGAAACTGGACCCCTTCCTTACACCTTACACAAAAATTAACTCAAGACAGATGAAAGACTTAAACGTAAGACCTAAAACCATAAAAACCCTAGAAGAAAACCTAGGCAATACCATTCAGGATATAGGCATGGGCAAAGACTTCATGACTAAAACACCAAAAGCAATGGCAAGAAAAGACAAAATTGACAAATGGGATCTAATTAAACTAAAGAGCTTCTGCACAGCAAAAGAAACCTTCTGGACAAGCAGCCTACAGAATGGGAGAAAATTTTTGCAATCTATCCATCTGGCAAAGGGCTAATATCCAGAGTCTACAAAGAATTTAAACAAATTTACAAGAAAAAACAACCCCATCAAAAAGTGGGCGAAGGATATGAACAGACAGTTCTCTAAAAAAGACATTGATGCAGCCAACAAACATATGAAAAAAAGCTCATTATCTCTGGTCATTAGAGAAATGTAAATCAAAACCACAATGAGATACCATCTCACACCAGTTAGAATGGTGATCATTAAAAAGTCAGGAAACAACAGATGCTGGAGAGGATGTGGAGAAATAGGAATGCTTTTACACTGTTGGTGAGAATGTAAATTAGTTCATCCATTGTGGAAGACAGTGGGGCAATTCCTCAAGGATCTAGAACCAGCAATACCATTTGACTCAGCAATCCCATTACTAGGTATATACCCAAAGGATTATAAATCATTCTACTATAAAGACACATGCACATGTATGTTTATTGCAGCACCATTCATAATAGCAAAGACTTGGAACCAACCCAAATGCCCATCAATGATAGACTGGAATAAGAAAATGTAGCACATATACACCATGGAATACTATGCAGCCATAAAAAAGAACGAGTTTATGTCCTTTGTAGGGACATGGATGAAACTGGAAACCATCATTCTCAGCAAACTAAAACAGGAACAGAAAACCAAACACTGCATGTTCTCACTCATAAGTGGGAGTTGAACAGTGAGAACACATGGACACAGGGATGGGAACATCACACAGTAGGGTCTGTTAGAAGGTGGGAGGGCTAGGGAGAGATAGCATTAGGAGAAATACCTAATGTAGATGATGAGTTGATGGGTGCAGCAAACCAGCATGGCACATGTATGCCTATGTAACAAACCTGCACATTCCGCACATGTCTTCCAGGACTTAAAATATAAAAAATAAAATTAATTTTGCCACGTAAGGTAATATATAATAACTTATCCCAGTGATTAGGTTGTGATCATTTGAGAGAAGGAGAGGAAGTATTTAGCCTGCCACACAAATTATTAAATTTGGAAGGAATGATGGAACTTTAAGAATCATTACTTGGAAACCACTATAGTAATAATTGTTTCTGGGAAGGAATATTAAGGGATGCTTACTAATAAAACTAGTGGATGAAAGCTAGTTAAAAAACAGAATGCTACCTAATCTCAACATACTTCCCCACATGACACTTATATATTACTGAGAAAAACACTAATTTTTATAGTAAAGATGCCTGGCAGATACAACATTAACCAAGTAATCAAAGCCAATATTGCCCATAACAGAATAAAGAAATATGTACATACTGATAGGATGCACTAAGGAGAACACAATCACACTTTTGTGGTATTCCTGACAGAAGTTTACAGGGAAAAAGAAGCTGATGCTTCAGTGCAGTTAGTCATCATTCCTATCTGGGAAAAAGCTGGCTTCACTGTTAGTTCTACAGTAAAATTGCTTGCCGCATAAATTCATTTCTGCTTTGGAAATCCCAGTTCACAAACGTTGACATGAGGTTTAGGCCTGACAAGGGGAGCATCTCAGGGCTTCTACTTTGCCTTCAGTGTTGTTGACATAGGAACAGGTCGTCAGAGCTAAAAATGTATTGTCCTTACCCTGATTTTTTCATATACAAGTTGCCAGAGCTTATGCAAGCACCTATCTCCTCCCTTCAGTTTGATAAAGTGAGAGAACTCATTCTTGTTGTTCTGCTGCATAAAGTTTGCTTGACTGGTTTGAAAAGTACAAAACAATAAAAACAATAATATCTGTGTTACACTTTGGGGGAATTATTAGTAACTGATCACTTTCAGATTACAAATTAAATAGCACAGGTTAATATGACTAGGATTCAATATTAGATATCCTATAATTATAACCTTGCCAAGACCACCTCGATCATGGAGATGCTAACCCAGCGGCACTAGAGGAATTAAAGACACACACACAGAAATATAGAGTATGGAGTGGGAAATCAGGGCACTCACAGCCTTCAGAGCTGAGAGCCCTGAACAGAGTTTGACCCACATATTGATTGACACGAAGCCAGTGATAAGCATTATTTCTATAGATTATAGATTAACTAAAAGTATTCCTTAAGGGAAACAAAGGGATGGGCCGAAACAAAGGGATGGGCTCTGTCTAGTTATCTGCAGCAGAAACATGTCCTTAAGGCACAGATCACTCATGCTATTGTTTGTGATTTAGGAATGCCTTTAAGCGGTTTTCTGCCCTGGGTGGGCCAGGTGTTCCTTGCCCTCATTCTGGTAAACCCACAACCTTCGGCATGGGCATCATGGCCATCACAAACATGTCACAGGGCTGCAGAGATTTTGTTTATGGCCAGTTTTGGGGCCAGTTTATGGCCAGATTTGGGGGCCTGTTCCCAACATAACCTCCCAAAAGAAAACAAAAAGTCTACACATATAAAAGAAAATGTATATATTTTGTAAGAGAAGAAGGAGAAAAGAGCCCAGAAAATTAAAAAGCCAAAAAAAATTTAGAGAGTGAGAAGTGATATCAATAAAACGGCAAAATAGGACTTTCCAGTGCCAGTTGGCCCCCTAGGTCAGACTCTGTAGTCCCAAGATCCATGCCAGTACCCAAGGGCCTAGCCTCCAGACCAGCACATATAAGCTGGGCCCCATAAACCCAGGCTCCAGACAAGCCCCTAAGGCAGCAAGTTCCACTCTAGAACCAGGCCAGTTCCAGGCTTCAGGTTGATCCCCACCACTCTAGGTTCCACTGGACCTAAAGTTCAGGCCCACACCAGTAGCTATCACCTCATACCTCACACCAGTTAGATCTATTATGAAAAACACAAAGGACAACAGGTGGTGGGAAGAATATGGAGAAAAGAGAATTCTTATACATTGTTACATTGTTTTTTGAAATGTAAATTAGGACAGCCATGAGGGAAAACACTATGAAGTTTCCTAAATAAATTTAAAATAGGGCCAGGCGCAGTGGCTTATGCCTGTAATTCCAACACTTTGGGAGGCCGAGGTCGGCAGATCACCTGAGGTCAGGAGTTTGAGACCAGCCTGGCCAACATGGTGAAATCCCATCTCTACCAGAAACAAGCAATGGGGAAAGGATTCTCTGTTTAACAAATGGTGGTGGGAAAACTGGCTAGCCATATGCAGAAAACTGATACTGGACCCCTTCCTTATACCTTAGGCAAAAATTAACTCAAGATAGCTTAAAGACTTAAATGTAGAACCCAAAACCATATAAACCCTAGAAAAGAACCTAGGCAATACCATTCAGGATATAGGCATGGGCAAAGACTTCATGACTAAAACACCAAAAGCAACGGCAACAAAAGACAAAATTGACAAATGGGATCTAATTAAACTGAAGAGCTGCTGCACAGCAAAAGAAACTACCATCAGAGTGAACAGGCAACCTACAGAATGGGACAAAATTTTTGCAATCTATGCATCTGACAAAAGTCTAATATCCAGAATATATGAGGAACTTAAACAAATTTATGAAAATAAAACAAACAACCCCATCAAAAAGTGAGCAAAGGATATAAATAGAAACTTCTCAAAAGAAGGCATTTATGGAGCCAACAAACACATGAAAAATAGCTCGTCATCACTGGTCATTCGAGAAATGCAAATCAAAACCACGAGATACCATCTCACACTAGTTAGAATGGCAATTATTAAAATGTCAGGAGACAACAGATGCTGGCGAGTCTGTGGAGAAATAGGAATGCTTTTACACTGTTGGTGGGAGAGTAAATTAGTTCATCCATTGTGGAAGACAGTGTGGCGATTCCTCAAGGATCTAGAACCAGCAATACCATTTGACCCAGCAATCCCATGAGTGCGTATATATCCAAAGGATTATAAATCATTCTACTATAAAGACACATGCACATGTATGTTTATTGCAGCACCATTTACAATAGGAAAGACTTGGAACCAACCCAAATGCCCATCAATAATAGACTGGATGAAGAAAATGTGGCACATATACACCTTGGAATACTATGCAGCCATAAAAAAGAATGAGTTCATGTCCTTTGCAGGGACATGGATGAAGCTGGAAACCATTATTTTCAGCAAAATAACACAGGAACAGAAAACTAAACACTGCATGTTCTCACTCATAAGCGGTAGTTAAACAATGAGAACACATGGACACAGGGAGGGCAACATCACACACTGGGGCCTGTCACGGGTTCAGGGGGAAGGAGAGGGAGAGCATTAGGACAAATATCTAATGCATATGGGGCTTAAAACCTAGATGACAGGTTGATAGGTGCAGCAAACCACTATGGCACATGTATACCTATGTAACAAATTTGCACATTCTGCACATGTATCCGAGAACTTAAAGTAAAATAAACATAAAAATAATGAAAAATAAAAGATTTCATAAGAACTTATACGAGAAACTACATCAGCCTTAGGGTAATTAAAGATTTGCTAGGACACACACACACACACACACACACACACACACACACACAAGAAATCCTGTCTCTACTAAAAATACAGAAATTAGCTGGGCGTGGTGGTGCTTACCTGTAGTCCCAGCTACTCTGGAGGCTGAGGCAAGACAATCGCTAGAACCCAGGAGGTGGGAGTTGCAGTAAGCCGAGATCCCACCACTGCACTCCAGCCTGGGCGACAGAGCGAGACTCTGTCTCAAAAAATTAATTAATTAATTAATTAATAATAAATAAAAATAGAACTGCCATATGATCCATCAATCACACTTCTGGGTTTATATCCAAAAGAATTAAATCACTATGTTGAAGAGCTATCTCCACTTCCATGAATATGGCAGCAAATTCATAATAGCCAAAGTATTGAATCAATCTAAGAGTCAATCAATGAATGAGTGAATTTAAAAAGTGTAGTTTATATACAATAGAATACTATTCTGCCTTAAAATAAGAAGGAAGTCCTAATATTTTCAAACACATGGCAAACCTGAGGACACTTTGCTAAGTAAAATGAGCCAGGCACAGAAAAATAAATACTGTACGATCTAATGTGTGAAATCTACATAAAATGAACTCATAGAAGCACAAAGTAGTAGAATGAGGCTTGTCAGGGGTTAGCAGTGGAGGGAGGGAAAATGGGGAGATGCTGGTCAAAGGGTACAAAGTTTCAGTTAGAAGGAATAAATTCAAGAGATCTATTCTATAGTATGGTGACTATAGTTAATAAAACTGTACTGCATACTTGAAAATTGCTAAGATAACAGATCCTAAATGTTCTCACCACAAAACAGGTAAGTATGTGAGTTAATGATTTGTTAATTAGCTTGAATAATAATTGCATAATTATACATATATCAAAACTTTATGCTGTATATCATAAATAAATACAACTTTTCACTTAATAAAGATGGAGAGGATATTTGAGTAGGTGAGAAACCAGGATGCTACAGGAAGTGTTACAAATCGTAAGATTTCCATAGTAGGAAATAGTTCAAAGAGCTAAGCTATGTTCTTTAAGTTTTAAAAAATTTGTTTTTATGTGATGTTTTACCCTAAGTGGTCTCAATTGTTTACTAGAAGTTATTTTACATACACTATTCTTGGTTCTTCATTTCTTGGGTAAGCTTAAGGACAAGGGCAAATGACTCATATTTTTCATGCCTAGTTAGAAATAAAGGAAGAGTCACAGATGCAGAAAGAAGATAAAGTCAGCAGAATCAATGCAATTGCAAGTCACACTAGAAATTGGAGGGAAGTTCCGAGATGCATTTTTATTTTTATAATTTAGGAAATAGTGTGTGAATCAATCACATCCAAATCTCACAGGCCTCAAAAGCTACAGCTGACATTCCAGTTATAGAGAAAACTCAGGCATTGCAAGTACGTTACATTATACTGAATTCTCCTTTAGTCATTTTTCCACATCATTTGACTATGACTGTCAGTTTAAATTGCTCTAGGTATAACGCAATTATTTCAGATGAAGATGGTTGACAATAATATATAGAACAAAATGATAACTTCTATAAAATATATTTATTTGAAACCATATATTGATATTCCTAATATACTTATTAACTATAAATATTCAAATTAGAACAAACTTAAAAATAAAAATAAACTAACATTTTCCATATAACAGCTTTTATCATAAAAATTTTCCAGTATATTTAAACATAATTCTTTTATACACCCATTGACTTCAAGTCATTTTCAGAGCCTCTCTATTTGCCTCAAATGTTCTCCATAGCTCTTTAGGTAATGCAGTTGCTCCAAGCACTTACCTCACCTAAGTATACCTAGACGGTGATGACCATTTCTTTATAAGCTACATAGGTCAGCTTTACCAGCTCCTTTCACCTCCAATATCCTTCTCACTGCCTTGTAAAAAAGAGGGATCTTGGACGCCGACTTCTGCTACACTGCTTCAACATCTCTCTTGCTACAATTTATAAAACTTATTGTCTTACTATTGATATTGGATATCAAAGAATATGGACCAAAATTCCTCTCAAAATTTACATCCAACAAAAAATAAGTAGTGTTGGAGGAAAGGATTTGAAGTATTTTGCTGTGTATTCAACTAAACTAAAGATAGAAGACAAAAGTATTCTGCCTAAACAGCAAAAAATTAAAAGACATATTCTAGATATTTTAAAATTGAGAGTATCATCTTTTCATAGGAATTATAACTTCACTTTTATCAATATTTACAACAAATTTCATGCCTTATTTTTAATCAGGAAAAGTCTTTCTTGTATTCATTAGGTTTGTGCCATGGAAAAACATCACTATAGATGTTTTATCTTGATTTTACACAGCTGTTTTCTCCAAAAGTGAATGGTATTTAAGCTGAATGTGTTTTATTCCTACCTGTTACCAGGATCTCCACGACTTTGTTAGAGTACATGCTCAGCAAGTGCTAACAGAGTGAGTGAATAAAAGAATGGTTGATAAATGAACAGATGGATGAATCATTGTGAGGAAAGACTCCATTATATTGTTAATATCACACAAACACAGGCTCACTCCCACCCCCTTAGTCTCTTCACTACCCCTCTTACATCTTTGTTTCTGAGGGTGTAGATTAGAGGGTTAAGACTAGGTGTAACAACAGTATAAAAGAGAGCAATGAACTTGCCTTGATCTTGAGAATTCCCTGATGGTGGCTGGAGATACATGCACATGGCCGGAATGAAAAAGAGAGATACAACCATATGATGAGCTCCACATGTTCCAAATACTTTCTGAAGCCCAGTGGTTGACTGCATCCTCAGTACAGCCTGGGCAATAGCACCATAGGAAGTGAAAATGAGGGTGAGAAGTAGCAGAACAAAAATGGAGCTTGTGATCATGAGGGTCAGTTTATTTTCACGGGTATTGACAAATGATAATCATAAAAGTGCCGGAACTTCACAGAAAAAGTGATCTATTTGGCGGTGTCCACACAGAGGTACCCAGAAGGTGAAGGAGGAATGAAGTGCTGGGTTTGTAAAACCACTTACCCAAGAAGCCACAGCCAACAAGTGGCAGAAACGAGAGTGCATGAGGACAGTGTAATGCAAAGGTCTACACACAGCTGCATAACGGTCATAGGACATCGCCACCAGTAGGAAACACTCTGTGGTTCCCAGTGTGAGAACAAAGTAAAGTTGAACCATGCAACCAGCATAAGAAATGGTCTTTCCCACACCCCAGAGACTGACCAGCAACTGAGGGATAGAGCTGGTGGTGTAGCAGAGATCCAGAAATGAGAGATTTGAAAGGAAGAAATACAAGGGAGTATGGAGATGGGAGTCCAGGTATGTCAGGATGATGATGAACAGGTTTCCTATCAGTGTCATCAAGCAGAAGATCAAAATAACCACAAAGAGAACTACTTCCAGATAAGGCCAATTAGAAAATCCAACTAAAATAAAGTACCCCTCAGAGCTAGCATTGACTTTTCCATCATCATTCATTTCCTATTACCTGAGAGAAAAAAAAAATCAGGTAAACTCAAAAAGCAGTAAACAAATGCTCCAAAAAACATCAGGATACGTAAAAAAAATAAAATCCAGTTTGAAGGGCTTGCCATCATTTAATTGTAGGACAATTTAACCATTAGTAGTAATGAACTTAACAAAAGAAGAATTATAAAGCTCGTACTGATATAAAAAGTAAGAGTAAATAAATGAATGGTGAAGAAAAAGCCATTCCTAACAGTAGATCCCTAATTAATAAACATAGAAGGGATAATGGTGTTAAGAAAAACATAAATGATTGCAAAACTAGTGGATAAAAATTTGATGGGGAACAGGACATGTACATAGTCTAAAATATCTCCTCACAACTTTCTTGTTAATTTCAAACTGAAAAACAGTGAAGTTTACAGTAGAAAAACCTGGCAGACACCAACATAACCAAGTGATTTTATTGATCTTAAGATCACCTGTATTTGTACAAACCAACATCATGAGACTGCTGAGATGCTGCTCTGAACAGGACATGATGTCACCTCAGTGATATTTATGTTAAAAATACACAGACTAATTCTAATAATGAAGACACATGAGAAAAACTCTAATTGAGAGAAATAGTTTGCCTGTACAATTCAAAAGTATCAAGTTTAAGTAGACAAACAAAGGCTGTGGCACTGGTCCAGATGGAAGGAGACTAGTGAGATGTGATTTCTCAGTGTATCATCTGGGATTTTTTTAAAAAGTGGCTATTAACAAAATTATTGGGACTATTTAAGAAATCTCACTGTGGACTATGGATTAGATAATAATATTGTGCCCATATTAAATTTGCTGATTTGGGTACTGTGCAGGACTTATGTAAAATAACATCCTTCTTCTTAGACAAGAAACATTGAATAAAATATTTGGTGTAAATGTCTTGAATGGGCTAAATGCTCCAATTAAAAGACACAGACTGGCAAATTGGATAAAGGGTCAAGACCCATCAGTGTGCTGTATTCAGGAAACCCATCTCACATGCAGAGACACACATAGGTTCAAGATAAAGGGATGGAGGAAGATCTACCAAGCAAATGGAAAACAAAAAAAGGGAGGGGTTGCAATCCTAGTCTCTGATAAAATAGACTTTAAACCAACAAAGATCAAAAGAGACAAAGAAGGCCATTACATAATGGTAAAGGGATCAATTCAACAAGAAGAGCTAACTATCCTAAATATACATGCACCCAATACAAGAGCACCCAGATTCATACAACAAGTCCTTAGAGACCTACAAAGAGGCTTAGACTCCCACACAATAATAATGGGAGACTTTAACACCCCACTGTCAACAATAGACAGATCAACAAGACAGAAAGTTAACAAGGATATCCAGGAATTGAACTCAGCTCTGCACCAAGCAGTGCTAATAGACATCTACAGAACTCTCCACCCCAAATCAACAGAATATACATTCTTCTCAGTACCACATCACACTTATTCCAAAATTGACCACATAGCTGGAAGAAAAGCACTCCTCAGCAAATGTAAAAGAACAGAAATTATAACAAACTGTCTCTCAGACCACAGTGCCATCAAACTACAACTCAGGATTAAGAAACTCACTCAAAACCACTCAACTACATGGAAACTGAACAACCTGCTCCTGAATGACTACTGGTACATAACGAAATGAAGGCAGAAATAAAGATGTTCTTTGAAACCAGCGAGAACAAAGATACAACATACCAGAATCTCTGGGACACATTTAAAGCAGTGTGTAGAGGGAAATTTATAACACTGAATGTCCACAAGAGAAAGCAGGAAAGATCTAAAACTGACACCCTAACATCATAATTAAAAGAACTAGAGAAGTAAGAGCAAACACATTCAAAAGCTAGCAGAAGGCAAGAAATAACTAAGATCAGAGCAGAACTGAAGGAGATAGACACACAAAAAACCCTTCAAAAAATCAATGAATCCAGGAGCTGGTTTTTTGAAAGATCAACAAAATTGATAGACTGCTAGCAAGACTAATAAAGAAGAAAAGAGAGAAGAATCAAATAGACACAACAAAAAATGATAAAGGGGATATCACCACCGATCGCACAGAAACACAAACTACCATCAGAGAATACTATAAACACCTCTGTGCAAATAAACTAGAAAATCTAGAAGAAATGGATAAATTCCTCGACACATACACCCTCCCAAGACTAAACCAGGAAGAAGTTGAATCTCTGAATAGACCAAATAACAGGCTCTGAAATTGAGGCAATAATTAGTAGCTTACCAACCAAAAAAAAGTCCAGGACCAGACGGATTCACAGCCGAATTCTACCAGAGGTACAAGGAGGAGCTGGTACCATTCGTTCTGAAACTACTCCAATCAATAGAAAAAGAGGGAATCCTCCCTAACTCATTTTATGAGGCCAGCATCATCCTGATACCAAAGCCTGGCAGAGACACAACAAAAAAAGAATTTTAGACCAACATCCCTGATGAACCTCGATGCAAAAATCCTCAATAAAATACTGGCAAACCGAATCCAGCAGCACATCAAAAAGCTTATCCACCATGATCAAGTGGGCTTCATCCCTGGGATGCAAGGCTGGTTCAACGTACGCAAATCAATAAACGTAATCCAGCAGAACAAAAGACAAAAACCACATGATTATCTCAATAGATGCAGAAAAGGCCTTTGACAAAATTCAAAAGCCCTTCATGCTAAAAACTCTCAATAAACTAGGTATTGATGGAACGTATCTCAAAATAATAAGAGCTATTTATGACAAAACCACAGCCAATATCATACTGAATGGGCAAAAACTGGAAACATTCCCTTTGATAACTGGCACAAGACAGGGATGCCCTCTCTCACCACTCCTATTCAACATAGTGTTGGAAGTTCTGGCCAGGGCAATCAGGCAGGAGAAAGAAATAAAGGGTATTCAATTAGGAAAAGAGGAAGTCAAATTGTCCCTGTTTGCAGATGACATGATTGTATATCTAGAAAACCCCATCATCTCAGCCCAAAATCTCCTTAAGTTGATAAGCAACTTCAGCAAAGGCTCAGGATACAAAATCAATGTGCGAAAATCACAAACATTCTTATACACCAATAACAGGCAAACAGAGAGCCAAATCATGAGTGAACTCCCATTCACAATTGCTTCAAAGAGAATCAAATACCTAGGAATACAACTTACAAGGGATGTGAAGGACCTCTTCAAGGAGAACTACAAACCACTGCTCAATGAAATAAAAGAGGATACAAACAAATGGAAGAACATTCCATGCTCATGGATAGGAAGAATCAATATCGCGAAAATGGCCATACTGCCCAAGGTAATTTATAGATTCGGTGCGATCCCCATCAAGCTACCAATGACTTTCTTCACAGAATTGGAAAAAACTGCTTTAAAGTTCATATGGAACCAAAAAAGAGCCCGCATTGCCAAGCCAATCCTAACCCAAAAGAACAAAGCTGGAGGCATCACGCTACCTGACTTCAAACTATACTACAAGGCTACAGTAACCAAAACAGCATGGTACTGGTACCAAAACAGAGATATAGAGCAAAGGAACAGAATACAGCCCTCAGAAATAATACCACACATCTACAATTATCTGATCTTTGACAAACCTGAAAAAAACAAGAAATGGGGAAAGGATTCCCTATTTAACAAATGCTGCTGGGAAAACTGGCTAGCTATATGTAGAAAGCCGAAACTGGATCCCTTCCTTACACCTTATACAAAAATTAATTCAAGATGGATTAAAGACTTCAATGTTAGACCTAAAACCATAAAAACCCTAGAACAAAACCTAGGCAATACCATTCAGGACATAGGCATGGGCAAGGACTTCATGTCTAAAACACCAAAAGCAATGGCAACAAAAGCCAAAATTGACAAATGGGATCTAATTAAACTAAAGAGTTTCTGCACAGCAAAAGAAACTACCATCAGAGTGAATAGGCAACCTACAGAATGGGAGAAAATTTTTGCAAGCTACTCATCTGACAAAGGGCTAATATCCAGAATCTACAATGAACTCAAACAAATTTACAAGAAAAGAACAAACAGCCCCATCAAAAAGTGGACGAAGGACATGAACAGACACTTCTCAAAAGAAGACATTTATGCAGCCAAAAAACACATGAAAAGATGCTCACCATCACTGGCCATCAGAGAAATGCAAATCAAAACCACAATGAGATACCACCTCACACCAGTTAGAATGGCAATCATTAAAAAGTCAGGAAACAACAGGTGCTGGACAGGATGTGGAGAAATAGGAACACTTTTACACTGTTGGTGGGACTGTAAACTAGTTCAACCATTGTGGAAGTCAGTGTGGTGATTCCTCAGGGATCTAGAACTAGAAATACCATTTGACCCAGCCATCCCATTACTGGGTATATACCCAAAGGATTATAAATCATGCTGCTAGAAAGACACATGCACACGTATGTTTATTACGGCACTATTCACAACAGCAAAGACTTGGAACCAACCCAAATGTCCAACAATGATAGAGTGGATTAAGAAAATGTGGCACATATACACCATGGAATACTATGCAGCCATAAAAAATGATGAGTTCATGTCCATGTAGGGACATGGATGAAGCTGGAAACCATCATTCTCAGCAAACTATCCCAAGGACAAAAAACCAAACACCGCATGTTCTCACTCATGAGTGGGAATTGAGCAATGAGAACATTTGGACACAGGAAGGGGAACATCACACACCGGGGCCTGTTGTGTGGTGGGGGGAGGGATAGCATGAGGAGATATACCTAATGTAAATGACGAGTTAATGGGTGCAGCACAGCAACATGGCACATGTATACATATGTAATAAACCTGCAGGTTGTGCACATGTACCGTAGAACTTAAAGTATAATAATAATAATTATAATAAAAGAACATTATAGCATTAAGAAAAGGAAGAAACCACAATGTTAATGAACAATAGATAGTATTAACCACGCACACATTTTTAGACTTTTAACATCACAAATTGTAACAAACCAAAATAAGAGGCAATGAACTAAGAAAATACATATGAATTTGTATAACCTTGGAACACAAAAGTTTATACAACTTAATATGAAACTGAAACTCCAATACAGTTATGTACATAGAATGCAGACAAATAATTAACACAAAATAAAAAATTTAAAAGGAATAAAAATGACCTAATAATTAAAAAAAAAAGTACTTGGTGTAAAGGTACGTGGCATCTCCAACTTACTCTCAGCTAGTGCAGAAAAAGAGATAGATGATAGATAGATAGATAGATAGATAGATAGATAGATAGATATAATAGATGATAGAGATATAGATAGATAGATAGATAGATAGATAGATGATATAACAAAGCTTTGGGGGAAAATGTAAACTAATGCTTAATCTGGTTATAGGGTAAATGTCAGTCTTTGTACTACTTTTTTGCAATTCTTCTCTAAGTTTGAAATTTTACCATAATAAAAAGTCACAAAAAATAGAAAACAATTTTTTAATTTTATATTTTATTCATATATTTGCCTTATAGAAGAATAACTATCGAGTTCTTCCCATTCATTTTATGGTGACTTCTAGGTAAATGGTAATTGAAAGAAATTTCTAACCTAGCTAAGGAAGATAATTTCCATAAAACACAAAATTTTTCTTTGTTAATGAATAAGGAACTTTTCTTTTCAGCATTTTCAGGTTATTTTCAAAAATGTGATTATAGAAAACATAACAATTGCAATCCCAATAATTTTACATACGGATGAAATAATATGTTGAAAATATTGAATTTAGTAGTGATTTCAAAATGTTCATGTAAAGTGAAAAAAAAGTTTAGCTTCAATGGGACTACAGGCATGTGCCACCATGCCTAGCTAATTGTTTTGTATTTTTAGTAGAGATGGGGTTTCACCTTGTTAGCCAGGATGGTCTTGGTCTCCTGACCTCATGATCCACCTGACTCGGCCTTCCAAAGTGCTGGGATTACAGGTGTGAGCCACCGTGCTCGGCCTTGTTTTTGATTTTTAAAAAGTGAAAGAAAGATTTATACAATCTGAAGAGTAATCAGAGTTTATTGTTTCTGACTTTTAAAAGCTGTCTTAATGTATTAGCATTACCCCCAGTGACAAATTAAGCCATGCACAGATACTTCATCTTTTATGTTGCCATTTTTCCTGACAGAGAGTGTGTTCTGTTCAGACAGAGTATGTTATATTTATACATGTTACCAAGAATTTCACAAACTGGAAGAGAGTACACATTCAATAAGATTTAGCTAATAAAGAATAAGTTAATGAATAAATGGACAGATGAACGAAAGAGCCATTTTAAAGAGATATTAGTTTACTGTTCAATGTGACAAGTATGTAGACCTACAGGATAAATTAGATAATTTAGTGTCTTTAAAAAGTGTCTTTCAACCAAATACTTATGATATATCCTTTACCATATCTTAAACAATGTTATTCATTATGTTTACCATTTTTCTTTGCTGTGACTATTTTTAGCTTCATTTAAGGTTTATTCAATAACCAAAAACCTTTTTAGCCTAAGTCTTTGCAATATTGCCCTTCTCTTTCTGTATATATCATCAGTTCATAATTTAGCACATTGTTAGAAATATTCCCAACATTTTTGAAATAATCTCCTCATAACTATTCGCATGCACATTTATTTACGTTGAAACCACAGTCCACAATTTTCACAGAAATAAAATATACAATTGTAAAAGAACAAAGTGGCACTAATCAGAAACTTTATCTCAACATAATATTTCAGAACTAAATAATAAAAAGAGCAACAAATGTGAGACTGAACTATTCTGTTTTGTGAGCTGTTAGAACAAAAATAAATCACAAAGAAGCAGGGAAACCACCTTTCAAGATGGCTAAGACCCTAGGAAAAACAATGACAACAGACAACATGATTTCCCTGTCACTTCCCCCACTCCCACCCCAATAGTCTCTTCGCTGCCCCTTTTACATGCTTGTTTCTGAGAGTGTAGATTAGAGGATTAAGACTCGGTGTGACAACAGTATAAAAGAGGGCAATGAACTTGCCCTGATCAGGAGAATTTTCTGATGGTGGCTGGAGATACATGCACATGACTGGAATGAAAAAGAGAGATACAACCATAAGATGGGCTCCACATGTCCTAAACACTTTCTGAAGCCCAGTGGTTGATTGCATGCTCAGTACAGCCCGGGCAATGGCACCATAGGTAGTGAGAATGAGAATGAGAGGTATGAGAACAAAAATGGAGCTCATGACCATGAGGGTCAGCTCATTTGCATGGGTGTCAACACATGATAAACGCAGAAGTGCTGGAACTTCACAGAAGAAGTGATCCACTAGGCGATGTCCACAAAGGGGTACCCAGAAAGTAAAGGAGGAATGAAGTGCTGAGATAGTAAAACCAATTACCCAAGAAGCCGCAACCAACAAGTGGCAGAAACGAGGGTGCATGAGGACAGTGTAATGCAAAGGTCTACACACAGCTACATAACGATCATATGACATCACCACCAGTAGGACACACTCTGTGATTCCCAGTGCAAGAACAAAGTAAAGTTGAACCATGCAACCAGCATACGAGATGGTCTTTTCCGGGCCCCGGAGATTCACCAGCAACTGAGGGATAGAGCTGGTGGTGTAGCAGAGATCCAGAAATGAGAGGTTTGAAAGGAAGAAGTACATTGGTGTGTGGAGATGGGAGTCCACGTATGACAGGATGATGATGAACAGGTTTCCTGTCAGTGTCATCAGGTAGAAGATCAAGATAACCACAAAGAGAACTACTTCCAGCTGAGGCCAATTAGAAAATCCAAGTAGAATAAAGAAGTCTTCCGAACTTGCATTTTTTTTAATCATCATTCATCTTTTTCTTATACCTAAAGAAAGAACCACATAAACTCAAAGTCTGTCCATGCATTGTCAACCGCTCACTTGCAAACAGATTGAAGACAAAAGTATCCCACTTCCAGAGAGTGTGCACCATAATGGTAGTAGAATTTTTATACAGTTCCCTTTATATGCTTCATTGAGATATTTATCCAGCTACAGATACAAGCAATAGCTTCTCAAGTTACTGAGTTCTTTATATACATCCCTGAATTAACATTTGGATTAATGAAGACTAAGATAGTCCATAATCAGGAACACAATATTTATGAAAAATGATTTTTTACTTTAAAAAGTCAAATTATTTTTATATTTTCAGGCTATTTCCAATTTTGCAATTACAGAGAAAGGAATAACAGCAGTCTTACTGATCTTACTTATAGATAGGAATTTCCCATATTAAAAAGCAATTAGATAGTCACTTTAAAATATTAACTGAAAAGAAATAATTGAATATGATTATAGAAAGAATCAAATGCTATTTATGCTAGCAGTTTATTTCTAGACAAATAAAATAATGCACAAATCAAAGTTTAAAGAGAATATGCACGCACACACCAACTTATAAAAATTCACAATATACACAAAGCTGATTAATACAGCAAAATAGAGTGATCGGTGATAGAATGCTTCCAAAGGTAAATGAGACTATATTACTGGAAGACATAAAGATTACAGAGTCTAACAAAAACATAGGTTGGTAAGAGAGAAATGGAGAGTGTTTGGATGCACAACAGTGAAGAGAGGTCTGAATGTGGTATGCGAAGTTGAAAGAATGTATAACAAGTTTGTTAGACAAGGACAAGAAGACTTAAACATGGTTTCTACAAAACTGTATATGCTTTAGGCCAATAACTGAACTATACTTTAAATTCTGAGTCACAATTTATAATTTGTATTTTCTGGGTTTTCCACAATTTTTAATGGAGCTTCTGAACAGACATTAACTAATATTAGTAGAAAGATACGTGAACATTGTATAAAATCCAGAAAATTCACCTTGTAGTTATTTTTTTAAAATGAAGAAATTCAAATATGCTTTGATAGCTTGATTTTCAGTTGCTTATTTTCTCTTGCACATTACCAATCTTGCATGAGAAAGATAAACACTCTTTTATGATATAGTTTTTGCAATAAAATACAGGAACCCAGCATTTCAATATTCCTACATAGTTTTGCCATCCCCCTTCTGCTCCCCTCCTGCCACAGCCAACTCTTCCTCTTATACTCTCTGATAAATTTGGCAAAAGAGGCCAGGCGTGGTGGCTCATGCCTGTAATCTCAGCATTTTGGGAGGCCGAGGCAGGTGGAACACCTGAGGTCAGGAGTTTGAGACCAGCCTGACCAACGTGGTGAAACACCATCTCTACTAAAAAATACAAAAATTAGCCAGGCAGGCATGGTAGTGGGCACCTGTAATACCAGCTACTCTGGAGGCTGAGGCAGGAGAATCGCTTGAACCCAGGAGGTGGAGGTTGCAGTGAGCTGAGATCATGCCATTGCCCTCCAGCCTGGGTGACAGAGCAAGACTCTGTCTCAAAAAACTAATATCTACACCCGACTCACCTTCAGTGTTTTGAAAAACTTTTAATAACTCAAGTATTGTAATCTTGACTCTTGAAAAAGATGTAAGGAGTTGCCTAACTGGTTGAGTTACAGCTGGAGAGCTAGGAACATTGAACTTGGGCCAAATCTGTGCAAATGCTCCAGACTGGTACAAAGATACTGTACATTTTTCCATATTGTTGGTAATGGAATGAGCATTAACCTTTTGAGAAATCATGGGAAAATTCCAAGGATTTTTTTAAATCTCCCTAAGATGAAAGGTAATATGCCATAAGATACTTGAACTCAAATGCTGTGGATACTTTTGCTGATGCCGACCTAATTTTCTTTCCGAATGCAGCTGCCTGAGTTCCTTATTACAGTAATTAAAAGGTGGAATCTGATAACTATCTGTTATATGACCCATCTTTCAGCATTCCTCCGGAGTTGATAAAAGGGATAGGAAATAAGGGACAAAAAAACCCCCAGAACTCATGTAGAGAAAAGTCTCAGCTTCAATTTTCTTCTTGGTGGAAAAGAGGGAAATGAAGACCCTATCAAATGTAGCTTTTATGAGTTGTAGAATAAAATATCTTCTCTCTTTTTTTAAATCAAATACTATAGGGAAAATGGATGGCTGAGTGTCTCTTCCTTCCCCAATTATTATTAAGAGACATTATGCCAATTTGTGTCACATCCATTCCTTTATACTATATCTGGTTTGTTTTCTTAATTTTTCATTGACTAGTAATAATTGTATATATTTATGGAGTACACTGTAATGTTTTGATGTATATATACATTATAGAATGATTATATTAAGCTAGTTAACATATCCATCACCCCACAACCATCATATTTTTGTAGTAAGAACATTTAAAATCTACACTTTCTGCAATTTTGAAATATGGAAGCTGTCTACCCCTTAAGAAGTGCACCAACTTCTTTCAGTACTGACCTTCCTGTGTTTGTCCCTGTTCCCTGTCACTCTCTACCTGGCCTACAACCTCATCAGGTATAAACTGATGAAGGGGCTCTCTGGTTGCCATACAACCTAAAAACATCAACCTAATTGCCTTCTTATAACATTTTTGCCAATGTTTTAAATCTAACTATGAAGAACAGAGTCTGGAAATAACTGTGATTGTCATTGCTACAGAAAAGAGAGCCTGAGTTTGTCCAAAAGATCTGCTTTTTAGCAGAATGTGGGAATACTTTAGGGCATTCAAGGTATCACGGGATGGACCCTTTATCCCAGAGCAAATGTAATCTTTATGGAAACAAAAAGAATAACGGGATACTCTTTCATTGACTGCAGCCTTTGGGAGTATAAATCCCAAAGCTGCAATTAATGCCCTTCAAGGAGTTGTCCTGGTATGATGTTCTCAGTACAAAACTCTTCACAGAAATATCTTCAGCATGATGTTATACTCTTACTGAGATGACAGTGAATTTGTCACCAACAAACATGGGAAAAGATGCTGTGAGTAACATTTACAATGAAAGGAAGAGGTTTTACTGAGCCGTCCGATTTTTTTTTTCAGTTTCCCGTGGGGCTAAGGCTCAAATGTACAAGACAACTGGAAAAAAAGGAGAGATTTGAGAGTCATTCAACAGAAAAACTAGAATACATAAAGACTAAACTGCATATCTGTTCCTTATTAATGAGGGGCTCTTTGAGACTGACCTATATTATTTATGCCTTCCCAGTTGTCTTTTAAATTCAATTCCAAGATTTTTCCTGCAAAATGTTAAAAAAATCTTAAATATTACTCCAATCTTTTATTATTTTAATTGACAAATAATTTTATATATTGATTAGGTACAATGTGATCTTTTGATATATGTATATGTGCAATATGGAATGATTAAGTCCAGCTAACACAGTCATCACCTCACATACTTATTTTTCTTATAGTGAGAACATTTAAATCTACTTGTTTAAAATCCCCCCTTTCTCCATCCCCTGCCCCCCAGGTAGCTATCATTCTACTCTCCACTTGTATGAGTTTATCTTTTTTAGATTCCACATAAGAGTGAGATCATGTGGTATTTGTCCTTCTGTGTCTGGCTTCTTTCACTTCGCATAATGTCCTGCAGGTTCATGAATGTTGTTGTAAAGACAGAATTTCCCTTTTTTCTTTAAGGCTGAATAGTATTCCATTTTATATAGATAATGTGGTTCATATATATCACATTATATCCCTTTTATATATTTATCTGTTTATCCGTTGATGGACATTTAGGTTCCTTTCATACCTCAGCTATTGTGAAAAATGCTACAATGAACATGGTAGTGCAGATATCTGTAGTGAATTCTTATGAGTTTATGTTACCTCAGCGTTCATTTTCAATATATAATTGAACTTCCTCATGCCAGAAGCAGGACTTAGTCACCCTTATCACAATTTTGAGTTCTCCTCTCCCAGTTTCTTCAGGTGGTCAATCCAGATATTTGGCCTCTTGGTTACCACCTCCGTGTGGGACACCTAGATACAACCTACTTGACTTATCCCACTGATCCCCACACCCCACATGGACTGCAGATTTGCAGCAGTGAACACCTCTCAATACAACTTAACTCCCAAGAAATCATGCCTGCTTGCTCTAAACCCAGCAACCAGTTACTCCCTGCTTGGATAATGCTGTGTACTCCAATAAGGGCTTTGGCTTTCTGGTCTGTCACTCACTCTCTCTCGCTACCCACCCACTGGTTGCACATGCATGTCTCTAAGGGATGCCCTTTCTCCCATTAGGCCTGTGAGGCAAGTTGCCCTCTTCTCTCTGGAATCTTTAAGTAATAAAACTACTTATACTATTTTTTTTTATGTGTCTTCTTGGCGTCTCACCTGACACACCTGAAATTAATTTTTTTTTCTGGACAAGGCTCCCTTAGAGAGTGGCAATCTTGGTAGGAATGAACTGGACACACTAGTCAGACAAAAGCCACAATGGTGTCTGCCAGTGAAAACAAGTTTCCAGTGAGAGGGACACCTGGTCATAAATAGGACAATTAGGCATTAGCTCTCCATCAGGATAAGGAAGTATTCCATGAAAAGAACACCGAAAACATCCACAACCACAACCACCTCCACTGGAGCCCATCAGAGCCAGGCTAGAGTTTCTAGCCACTCTTCAAAGAGAGACGTTAAAACCAAATTAGAGGAAAATCTACCCTTTTTTTTTTTTTTTTGAGATGGAGTCTTGCTCTGTAGCCCAGGCTGGAGTGCAGTGGCATAATCTCAGCTCACTGCAAACTTGGCCTCCCAGGTTCAAGCAATTCTCCTGTCTCAGCCACCTGAATAGCTGGGACTACAGGTGCAAACCACAGCCGGCTAATTTTTTTGTATTTTTAGTAGAGATGGGGTTTCACCATATTGGTCAGGCTGGTCTCCAACATATTTTTAAAATACAAATTTCAATCTCTTTGGCTATGTATCCAGAAATATAATTGCTAGATCCTATGGTAATTCTATCTTTAGTTTTTTGAGGAATCTCCATGCTGATTTCAATAATGCCTGTATTAATTTACATTCCTGCCATTAGTATATAAGGATTCCCCACATCCTTGTCAGTACTTATTACCTTTTAGTTTACTGATAATAGTCATTCTAACAGGTATGAGGTGATATCTCTTTGTTTTGTTTTAATTTGCATTTCCCTGATGATTAGTGATGTAGACACTTTTTTATATATCTATTGGTCTTTTGAAAGATGTCCATTCAAGTCCATTGCTCAGTTTTAAATGGCGTTATTTGTTTTCTTGCTAACAAATTTAAGTTGTTTGCATTTCTTACATATTTTGGATATTAGCCATGTATGGTTTGTAAATATTTTCTCCCAGTCCATGGGTTGTCTCTTCAATCTGTTATTTACTTTGTTGTAGAGAAGCTTTTGGTTTCAGGTAATCCCATTTGTCTACTTCTGCTTTGGTTTCCTGAGCTTTTGAGATCATCACCAAGAAAGTATTGCCAAGATTAATTTCAGGGACATTTTTCCCTATGCTTTCTTCTAGTAGTTTTACATTTTCAGGTCTCGCATTTAAATCTTTAAACCATTTTTAGTGGGCTTTTTACACATGGTGTGAGATAAGGGTTCAATTTCATTCTTCTGTATGTGGGTATTTGATTTCCCCTGCATCATTTATTAAAGAAACTGTCCTTTCCCCATAGTGTGTTTATTCTTGGCATCTTTGGCAAAAATCAATTAATCACAAATGCATGAGTTTATGTCTGGGCTCTCTATCACATTACATTGGTCCATGTGTCTGTTGTTATGCCAGTACCTTTCTGTTTTGAATACTATAACTTTGTAATATATCTTTAATCAGGTAGTGTGATGCCTCCAGCTCTGGTCTTTTTGCTCAAAAGTGCTTTAGCTACTTAAGATTTTTGTCATTCCATATGAATTTTTGAATTGCTTTTTCTATTTCTGTGAAACAAAAAGGTCATTAGAACTTTTATAGGAATTGCATTGAATCTGTATACCACTTTCAGCAGCACAGACATTTTAATAATATTAATTCCTCCAATCCATGAACCATCAGGTTCTGGGCTTTTCTTTGGTAGGAGACTTTTATCACTGATTCAACCCCCTTACTCATTAGTCTGTTCAGATTTTCTATTTTTTCATAATTCATTGTTGTTATGTTTCTGGAAATCTAACCATTTCTTCTAGGTCATCCTATTTGTTGGTGTAAAATTGTTCGTAGTATTCTTTTATGATCTTTTGTACTTGCGTAGTTTCAATTTTAATGTCTCCTCTTTCATTTCTTATTTTATTAGAGTCTTCTTTTTTTTCTTAGTTGGTCTGCTAAAGTTTTGTCAATTGTTTTTATCTTTTCAAAAACTGAACTGTTAGTTTTGCAAATGTGTTCTTTTGTTTTCTAATCTCTTACTTATTTCTGCTCTGATCTTTGTTATTTCCTTCCTTCTGCTAACTTTGGGATTAGTTTGCTCTTCTCTTTTTCTAGTTTCTTGAAATGTAACATTAGGTTGTTTGAGATCTTTCTTCTTTTTCAATATCGGCATTTATTACTATAAACTTTCCTCCTGCTAAGAACTTCTTTTGTTACATCCCATAAGTTGTGGTACGTTGCATTTTCATTTTCATCTGTCTTAAGATATTTTTTAACTTCCCTTTGATTTCTTCATTAACCCATTGTTTATTCAAGAGCATGTTGGTTAATTTCCACATTTGTAATATTTTCAAATTTTCCCCTATTATTTATTTCTATTCATTTCTACTTTCATAATTTTGTGGTCAGAAAAGATACTTGATATGATTTCAATCTTCTTAAAATTGTTGAGTCTTATTTTGTTACCTAATATTTGATCCTGGATAATGTCTCATTTGCACTTGAGAAGAATGAATATTCTGTTGCTGTTGGATGAAATGTTCTATAACGTCTTTAGGTCCATTTGGTCCAAAGTGTATGTCAAGTCTAGTGTTTCCCTATTGATTTCTGTCTAGATGAAAAAATTGTTCATCATTACTAATCATCAGAGAAATGCAAATCAAAACCACAATGAGATATCATCTAACACCAGTCAGAATGGCTGCTATTTAAAAGTCAAAAAACAACAGATATTGCGGAGGCTGCAGAGAAACGCGAACGCTTATACACTGTTGGTGAGAATGAACATTAGTTCAGCCACTGTGGAAAGCAGTTTGGAGATTTTCCAAAAGAACTAAAAACAGAGCTACCATTGGACCCAGCAATACCATTCCTGCGTATTTAGTCAAAGGAAAATATATCATTATACCAAAAGAACACACGCACTCATGTTCATGGCAGCACTATTCACAACAGCAGAGACATAGGCCTGCCCATCAGTGGTGGATTGGATAGAGACAATGTGGAGTTCCGGCAGAGACCCGGGTGGGACGCGCTGACCATGGGCCTGCGGAGGGGCTGGGGGTTCAGGACCTCCCGCAGCCTCTGCCCTGCAGGCTCCAGGTGCCCTCGCTGTGGCTCCCCTCGCGGGCCCAGGCCTGAAGAAGCCGCGAACCTCTCTTCCCTACCCCACCTCCGTGACTGATGGCAGCTCCTCTCTCAGCCCAGACCCCGCCGGCCTCCATGTCTCCCGGCCCAGCCCTGCGGGGCCTAAACTAAGCCCCTGCCGAGCTGCTAGGATGCAGCGCATTTGAGTGGCTGCGGGCGTGGGGGGCCGGGAAGCATGGTGACCGCCCCAACTCGCAGCGGAGGCCGTTAGGGTGTGGAGGGCGCGGGAAGGTGGGTCGCCTGCCACCGGGGCGCGGGCAGATCGGACCGCTCTGTCCCAACTGGTCGAGACCGACCTAGTCCTGACGACAGGAACAACGGCATTAACAACGGCCGGAAGGTGAGCAGTGTCCCAGACAACGACGGATAGCGGCCACCTGGCCACTGGTCTTCCTTCTCTACCAGACCTGGATGTGGGAAGAGAGAAGTGGTGGAACAGGCCACATTTGGCGTATTGGAGATGCCCACTACCCTTTGGGAAGATTTAATTACCACCGTTTATAGAAGGCCCTGCGTGTGTAAAGTGAGAAAGCGGCTCTCAACTGCCCCCGCCCCAACTTTTAAATAGAAAACATTTGCCACATTTAGCCCTTCTAGATGGAAAGAGGTTGTGATGTATGATAAAGTTAGAAAATCACACATCTTATAAATTCTCATTTGTTCAAAAAGAAATGATAGAAAATAGATGTCTTCTGGAAATGGCTTTTCGCAATGGAATTGTTGGACCACTTCTGGAAGCCATACCAGGAACGACAGACACAACCACATTTGTTCAGTGGGTTAGAGGGCATGAAGAAGAAGACCTGAGAAGGAAAAGAAGAAGGTTCTGTGCCAGACTAGTCATATTCAGAAGACATTCTCATATTCTTTCCATTGTTTTGTGTGCATTTTATTCCCTACTACTGTATAGATCATTGACAATGCTACACTTTTTTGAAATGTCTAGTGTTTCTAGATGTTCTGAGGTGCCTGATATATGTTTAAACTAGAAGTAGTAAAATAACACATTTTGTAAGTATCTTTTTGTTAAAATTCGAATGAAACATTGTTTTAGGGGGAATGGCCAAACCACAAGTTGAGTAATATGCATTGTATTATGCGCCAGTTCAGGAGAGGAGGAGGAGGAGGCTGTGCAGAGAGCTCTGTGCCACCAGTGTGCTTACAGTGAGGCAAGATTAACCATTATATCTTATGTTTGTGCATTTTCTTTTACTTATCTATGTATAAAGTGTATATAGAGGAAAACAAGTCCTAATTTACATCTAGTCTTTCTAGATGTTATGGAGGTTGCCAGTGAATTACAAAAGTAGAGTTAGTAAACTAATATTTTTGTACATTTTGTTTTTAAATTCCTAGGGAAGATTGTCTTCTGAAAACTTGAGCATTCTTGCCCACTGGGTTGATGGAGATGGAAAGATTTTTAGGCCAGAATGTTCACATTTGGAAGACTCCTTCAAATTATAACTATTGTTACATGTATGCAGTTTATTCAAGGCTGCAGTGTACATAGTGGACAGATTAACTTCTTACCTGAAACCGCTAGTCTATTTAGATGTTTAGAAGGGCCTGATGTATGTTAAATGTAGAGGTAGCAAAATTTCACTTTGTAAATGTCTTTTTGCTGAAATTCATAGGAAATACTGTGTTTTGGAAATTGAATTATTAAGCCATCTTTGTGAGTGGTATAGTACTGTCTATACTTGCTCAGTAGTTTAGAGGAGCTGGGACGGATGAAACTGCAAAAGGTAACATGCTAGTGTGCTCATACTTGCACATTTTCAGGCACCATTTTTCTGTATGTTTTGTGCATTGTGTTTTGCTCTGTATATAGCGCATATAATGAACAAATGAGTCCTAATTTTGCAACATCTAGTCTCTAGATGTTAAAGAGGCTGGCAGTGTATGACAAAGTACTTAGTAAAATTAGCACTTTTTGTAAGCTTTGTGTTGAAATTCATAGGAAACCTTGTCTTCTGTAAATAACTTTTGGATCTAAATTTGTTCAACCATTTCTAAAGTATGACACATGCCTATACTTGTCTACTGAAATAAAGGCAGAGAGAAGAAAGGAAGGACTACTTCAAGGCCAAAATGGTCATGTTTAGAAGATACCTCAGATTATAACTGTTGTTATGTGTGTGCAATTTTATTTAACAGTGCCATGTACATGGTGGACAAGTTATATGAAATATTTAATCTTTCTAGATATTTGGAAGTGCTTGGTGTATTTAAAAATAGAAGTAGTAGAATAACACTTTCTGTAAATATCTTTTAAAAGTAATGAGAAATACTTTTTGGAACTGGCATTGTTGAACCACCTCTGTGAACAGCGTCCTCTCTGTACATGTTCATTGGGTTGAGGGAGATTGGAAGGAAGATATTGCAAAAAGTGTCTTGCTCTTGCGATAGTTTACTGAGAATGATGATTTCCAATTTCATCCAAGCCAAACACCGCATATTCTCACTCATAGGTGGGAACTGAACAACGAGATCACATGGACACAGGAAGGGGAATATCACACTCTGGGGACTGTTGTGGGGTGGGGGGAGGGGGGAGGGATAGCGTTGGGAGATATACCTAATGCTAGATGCGAGTTAGTGGGTGCAGCGCACCAGCGTGGCACATGTATACATATGTAACTAACCTGCACAATGTGCACATGTACCCTAAAACTTAAAGTATAATAATAAAAAATAAAAAATAAAAAGTGTTTTGCTAATGTTTACTAGAAAATTTCAGCTTAATCCATTACCTATATGTTACATGCATTGCATTTAACTTTGCTATACTGTATATATTGTGTGTATACTGGATGAAGTAGTCTTAATTTTATAATATCTAGTCTAGTCTCTAGATATTAAAGAGGTTGCCAATTTATAACAATTTATGAGAGTTAGTTTACTAACTCTATTTTTGTACACTTTGTTGAAATTCATAGAAAGGCTATCTTCTGAAAAGGACTTTTGGAAGTGAAATGATAACATCAGTTCTAAATGACACATATGCCTATATCCACTAGGTTGGTGGTAGAGAGGAGTTAGAAGGAATGAAAGATTTTAGACCAGAATGTTCCTATTTAGAAGACACTTTCAGATATAACCATTGTTACCTGTGTATATAGTGGACAAATTTAAGTCCTTATTTGAAACATCTAGTCTTTCTAGAAGTGCACAAAGTATGTTAAAAGTAGAGGGAGTAAATAACACTTTGTAGATATCCTTTTGATTCATATGAAATATTGTCTTTGGGAAATGGATCAAACCACTTATCTGAGCAGTACACATTACTATATGTGTGTTGGCTCAGGGAGGAAAGAGGAGCAGAAAGGGCAAAAGGTAATTCAAATACCAGTGTGTTTATGGTGAGGCACACTTTACCATTGTCCCTTATGTCTGCATTTTCTTTTACTGTGCTGTGTATATAGTGCATATAAGTGGACAAATTAGTCCTAATTTTCAACATCTAGTCTTTGTAGATATTAAGATGTTTCTAGTGTATGACAAAAGTAGAGTTAGTAAACTACTGTACTGAGTACACTTTTTGGTAAAATTCATAGGGAAGACTGTTCTTAAAAACACAAAAGGATGAAGCCGAAGACGGCCAAATAGGAGCAGTTCTGGTTTGCAGCTCCCAGCAAGACCAATCCAGATGGCAGGTGATTTCTGCATTTCCAACTGAGGTACCCCGTTCCTCTCATTAGGACTGGTTAGGCAGCAGGTCAAACCCATGGAGGGCAAGCAGAAGAAGGGTGGGGAGTTGCTTACCCAGGAAGTTCAAGAGGCCAGGGGACCTCTTTCCCCGAGCCAGGGGAGCCATGAGGGACAGTGCTGCCTAGCTTGTTACTACACTTTTCCCATGGTTTTTGCAATCTGTAGATCAGGAGATTCCCTTGTGTGCCTACACCACCAGGGCCTTAGGTTTCAAGCACAAAACTGGGTGGCCATTTGGGCAGACACAGAGCTAGATGAAGGAGTATTTTTCCTACCCTAGTGATGCCTGGAACCCCAGCGAGACAGAACCATTTACTCCCCTGGAAAGGAGGCTGAAGCCAGGGAGCCAAGTGGTCTCGCTCAGCAGGTCCCACTCCCACAGAACCTAGCAAGCTAAGAACCACTGGCTTGAAATTCTCACTGCCAGCACAGCAGTCTGAAGTCAACCTAGGACAATTGAGCTTCATGGGATGAGGGACGTCTGCCATTACTGAGGCTTTAGTAGGCCATTTTCCCTGACAGTTCCAAGGAGTCTCGGAGGTATGGACTGGCAAATTCATCACAGTGCAGCAAAGCAGCTGTGGCCAGACTGCTTCTCTAGATTCCCCCTCACTGGGCAGGGCATCTCTGAAAGAAAGGTAACAGCCCCAGTCAGAGGCTTACAGACAAAACCCCCATCTCCCTGGGACAGAGCACCTGGGGAAGAGGTGGCTGTGGGCACAGCACAAGCAGATTTAATCGTTCCTGCCTGCCTGCTCTGAAGACAGCAGCTGATCCTGACAAGAGGGATTCTCCCAGCACAGCACACCAGTTCTCTTAAGGGACACACTCCCTCCTCAAGTGGGTCCCTAACCCCCATGCCTCCTGACTGGGAGACAACTCCCAACAGGGGTTGACAGAACCTCACACAGGAGAGCTCCAGCTGTCATCAGGCCAGTGCCCTTCTGGGACGAAGCTTCCAGAGGAAGGAGCAGGAAGCAATCTTTGCTGTTCTACAGCCTCTGCTGGTGATACCCAGGCAAACAGGGTCTGGAGTACACTTCCAGCAAACTGCAGCAGACCCGCAGAAGAGGGGCCTGACTGTTATAAGGAAAACTAACAAACAGAAACAACGTCAACATCAACATAAAGGACCGTCACACAAAAACCCCATCCAAAGTCATCAGCCTCAAAGATCAAAGGTAGATAAATCCACAAAGATGAGGAAAAACTAGCATAAAAACGCTGAAAATTCCAAAAACCAGAATGCCTCTTCTACTCAAAATGATCTCAACTCCTCTCCAGCAAGGGCACAAAACTGGAGAAGGAGATTGATGAATGACAGAAGTAGGCTTCACAAGGTGTGTAATAACAAACTCCTCTGAGCTAAAGGAGCATGTTCTAACCCAATGCAAGGAAGCTAAGAACCTTGATAAAAGGTTACAGAAACTGCTAACTAGACTAGCCAGTTTAGAGGAGAACATAAATGACCTGAGGAGCTGAAAAACACAGCACGAGAACTTTGTAAGATATACACAAGGATCAATAGCCAAATCGATCAAGCAGAAGAAAGGATATTAGAGACTGAAGACCAACTTACTGAAATAAGGTGTGAAGACAAGATTAGAGAAAAAAGAATGAAAAGGAACAAACAAAGCCTCCAGGAAATATGGGACTATGTGAAAAGACCAAACTTATGTTTGATTGGTTTACCTGAAAGTGACGAGAAGAATGGAACCAAGCTGGAAAACAGCTTCAGGATATTATCCAGGAGAACTTCCACAAGGTAGCAATACAGGCCAACATTCAAATTCAGGAAATACGAGAACACCACTAAGATACTGCTCGAGAAAAGCAACCCCAAGAAACGTAATTGTCAGATTCTCCAAGCTTGAAATGAAGGAAAAAAAGTTAAGGGCAGCCAGAGAGAAGGGTCAGGTTACCTATAAAGGGAAGCCCATCAGACTAACAGCATATCTCTCTGCAGAAACCCTACAAGCCAGAAGAGAGTGGGGGCCAATATTCAACATTCTTAAAGAAAAGAATTTTCAACCAAGAATTTCATCTCCAATGCGCCAAATGTGGCCTGTTGTTCCACCACTTCTCTCTTCCCACATACAGGTCTGGTAGAGAAGGAAGACCAGTGGCCAGGTGGCCGCTATCCGTCGTTGTCTGGGACACCGCTCACCTTCCGGCCGTTGTTAATACCGTTGTTCCTGTCGTCAGGACTAGGTCGGTCTCGACCAGTTGGGACAGAGCGGTCCGATCTGCCCGCGCCCCAGTGGCAGGCGACCCACCTTCCCGCGCCCTCCACACCCTAACGGCCTCCGCTGCGAGTTGGGGCGGTCACCATGCTTCCCGGCCCCCCACGCCCGCAGCCACTCAAATGCGCTGCATCCTAGCAGCTCGGCAGGGGCTTAGTTTAGGCCCCGCAGGGCTGGGCCGGGAGACATGGAGGCCGGCGGGGTCTGGGCTGAGAGAGGAGCTGCCATCTGTCACCGAGGTGGGGTAGGGAAGAGAGGTTCGCGGCTTCTTCAGGCCTGGGCCCGCGAGGGGAGCCACAGCGAGGGCACCTGGAGCCTGCAGGGCAGAGGCTGCGGGAGGTCCTGAACCCCCAGCCCCTCCGCAGGCCCATGGTCAGCGCGTCTCACCCGGGTCTCTGCCGGAACTCCACATTCTCTCTATCCAATCCACCACTGATGGGCACCTAGGTTGGTTCTATGTCTCTGCTATTGTGAATAGTGCTGCCATGAACATGAGTGCGTGTGTCCTTTTGGTATAATGATATATTTTCCTTTGACTAAATACGCGGTAATGGAATTGCTGGGTCCAATGGTAGCTCTGTTTTTAGTTCTTTTGGAAAATTCTCCAAACTGCTTTCCACAGTGGCTGAACTAATGTTCATTCTCACCAACAGTGTATAAGCGTTCGAGTTTCTCTGCAGCCTCCGCAATATCTGTTGTTTTTTGACTTTTAAATAGCAGCCATTCTGACTGGTGTGAGATGGAATCTCATTGTGGTTTTGATTTCCGTTTCTCTGATGATTAGTAATGATGAACAATTTTTTCCATATGTTTATTGGTCACCTTTATGTCTTCTTTTGAGAAGTGTCTGTTCATCCTTTGTCATTTGTTAATTTTTTAATGGGGTTATGTTTGTTGATTTAAGTTCCTTATAGATTCTGGATATTAGACCTTTGTTGTATGCATAGTTTGTGAATCTTTTCTCACCTTCCGTAAGTTGTCTGTTTATTCTATTTATAGTTTCTTTTGCTGTGCGGAAGCTCCTTAGTTTAATTTGTATTTATGGATAGTAAAGATAACTAGCATTTGAGTTTGTATAAAGATAAGATGATAAGTATTGAGTTGAGGTGAAGCAACTAATGTCACAGAAGTTAGAAATATTTTGCCACATTGTAAGCTCTATTTGACTTTTGACTTTGTGTAGTAGATATAGATAGCATGAAAGCCTTAATTTTTCGCTTTTCTTGCTAGTAAGGTTATGTTTGCTTAGAGTGACCATTTAAAGTGTGTTTAACATAACATTACTGTTGAAAAACATTCCATTACATGTCCACAAGCAAATTAACTGCACATTTTAAATTGTATTTTACAATACAGTACAAATATTTTAGACCTCAATCTTATCTTCAATTCACTGGTATTTTAAGTTTTGCAATGAATATGAAGTTACTTTTTAGCTTACAGACTCCTTGTATTGTTATTTAAAATGCTTGTTACTATTGTAGGAAGGTTGAAGGCTTCATCTTTTTTTGAGTTAATATTTAAATTCTTATTACTTACTTTGATAGTCTCTAATTAAAAAAAGTAGTATGCAGGCAATTAAACAAATCAGTATATGCATTCAAGAATTTAAAACAATTTTACATTTTGTCATCATTGGGATTAAATTTTGGCCGGGTGTTCACTTTCAATATATATGTATGAACAATTTAATTATGAAGTGAAATAGTCTTAAGTCTGATATATGATGCACCCGCATATAAATTAAAATGGCACACACAAAGACACTTTACTATGGGAACTGTATTGGAAGATTTATGAAATTTTAGGTAAAATTGAACCTAAAATTTTGTTATTAGTGACTATAAGTAGCAATGCTTAATTTATTGTACTTGATGAATGAATGTATTTAGGTTAGCCATAGTTACTTTGGTTTAAATGTCGAAATCATGTCTTTATTTTAAAAATGTATTTGTAATTTGTACTATCAACGGGGGATATTATTGGACTGCAGAGGTTGTGGCAATGTGTGATTTGTGTTTCCTTATTTTATAGAATTATCTAATGTGATATACTAGTTTTTACAGGTAATATTTAGATATTTCTAATAATTGTATATTTGACAACCTACTAAAATGCTTTGCATTGGAAAGAAACTGAAAAACAATATGCAGACGTAGGCTGCCTGTAAGAGGTTCACTTTAACTTGAAGAACACACATTGATTGAAAAAATTATTTCATGCAAGTGGAAAGCAAAAGACAAGGGTAGCTGTACTTTTATGAGATGAACTTTAAGTCCAAAACTGTTAAAAGAGACAAAGAAGGTCATTATGTAATGATAAAAGGGTCAATTCATGAAAAGGACTTAACAATTGTAAATATATATGCACCTAATATAAGATCACCTATACATATAAAGAAAGCATTAGTAGACCTGAAAAGAGATAGACTGCAATACAATAATAGCAGAGGATTTCAATACTTTACTTTCAACAGTGGACATATCATCTAGACAAAAATCAATAAGGAAACACTGGACTTGACATACACTTTAGACCAAGTGGACCTAACAGACATATATAGAACATTCCATCCAACAGCAACAGAATATTCATTCTTCTCAAGTGCAAATGGGACATTATCCAAATAAGGTAACAAAATAAGACTCAACAGTTTTAAGAAGACTGAAATCATATCAAGTATCTTTTCTGACCACAAAAGTATGAAAGTAGAAATGAATAGAAATAAATAATACGATAAAATTTGAAAATATTACATACGTGGAAATTAACCAACACGCTCTTGAATAAACAAAGGGTTAATGAAGAAATCAAAAGGGAAATTAAAAAATATCTTAAGACAGATGAAAATGAAAATGCAACGTACCACAACTTATGGGATGTAACAAAAGAAGTTCTTAGCAGGAGGAAAGTTTATAGTAATAAATGCCGATATTAAAAAAGAAGAAAGATCCCAAACAAACAACCTAATGTTACATTTCAAGAAGCTAGAAAAAGAGAAGAGCAAACTAATCCCAAAGTTAGCAGAAGGAAGGAAATAACAAAGATCAGAGCAGAAATAAGTAAGAGACTAGAAAACAAAAGAACACATTTGCAAAACTAACAGTTCAGTTTTTGAAAAGATAAAAACAATTGACAAAACTTTAGCAGACCAACTAAGAAAAAAAAGAAGACTCTAACAAAATAAGCAATGAAAGAGGAGACATTAAAATTGAAACTACAGAAGTACAAAAGATCATAAAAGAATACTACGAACAATTTTACACCAACAAATAGGATGACCTAGAAGAAATGGTTAGATTTCTAGAAACATAACAACAATGAATCATGAAAAAATAGAAAATCTGAATCAGTTAATCCAGGAGGTGGATTTTGAAAAGATCCACAAAATTGATGGACTGCTAGCAAGACTAATAATGAAGAAAAGAGAAAAATCAAATAGATCTATTAAAAAATAATAAAGGAGATATCACTACTGATCCCACAGAAATACAAATTCTCTTTTTTTTTGTTGTGTCTCTGACAGGCTTTGGTATCAGGATGATGCTGGCATCATAAAATGAGTTAGGGAGGATTCTCTCTTTTTCTATTGATTGGAATAGTTTCAGAAGGAATGGTACCAGCTCCTCCTTGTACCTCTGGTAGAATTCGGCTGTGAATCCATCTCGTTCTGGACTTTTTTTGGTTGGTAGGCTATTAATCATTGCCTCAATTTCATAACCTGTTAGTGGTCTATTCAGAGATTCAACTTCTCCCTGGTTTAGTTTTGGGAGGGTGTATGTGTCCAGGAATTTATCAATTTCTTCTAGATTTTCTAGTTTATTTCCATAGAGTTGTTTATAATATTTTCTGGGAAAACTGGCTAGCCACCATGTAGAAAGCTGCAACTGGATCCATTCCTTACACCCTATACAAAAATTAATTCAAGATGGATTAAAGACTTAAATGTTAGACCTAAAACCATAAAAACCCTAGAAGAAAACCTAGGCAATACCATTCAGGACACAGGCATGGGCAAAGACTTCGTGACTAAAACACCAAAAGCAATGGCAACAAAAGCCAAAATAGATGCATGGGATCTAATTAAACTAAAGAGCTTCTGCACAGCAAAAGAAACTACCATCAGAGTGAACAAGCAATGTACAGAATGGGACAAAATTTTTGCAATCTACCCAATTAACAAAGGGCTAATATCCAGAATCTACAAAGAACTTAAACAAATATACAAGAAAAAAATAAACAACCCTATCAAAATGTGGGCAAAGGATATGAACAAACACTTCTTGAAAGAAGACATTTATGCAGCCAACAGACACATAAAAAATGCTCATCATCACTGGTCATCAGAGAAATGCAAATCAAAACCACAATGAGATACCATCTCATACCAGTTAGAATGGCAATCATTGAAAAGTCAGGAAAGGACAGATGCTGGAGAGGATGTGAAGAAATAGGAACACTTTTACACTGTTGATGGGAACGTAAATTAGTTCAACCATTGTGGAAGACAGTGTGGTGATTCCTCAAAGATCTAGAACTAGAAATACCATTTGACCCAGTGATCCCATTACTGGGTATATACCCAAAGGATTATAAATCATGCTATTATAAAGACACATGGACACATATGTGTATTGTAGCACTATTCATGATAGAAAAGACTTGGAATGTCCATCAATGATAGGCTAGATTAAGAAAATGTGGCACATATACACCATGGAATACTATGCAGCCACAAAAAAGGGTGAGTTGATGTCCTTTGCAGGGACATGAATGAAGCTGGAAACCATCATTCCCAGCAAACTATCACGAGGATAGAAAACCAAAGACCACATGTTCTCACTCATAGGTGGGAATTGAACAATAAGAACACTTGGACACAGGATGGGGAACATCACACACTGGGGCCTGTTAGAGGGTGGGGAGCTGTGGGAGGGATAGCATTAGGAGAAATACCTAATGTAAATGACAGGTTGATGGGTGCAGCAAACCAACATGGCACATGTATACCTATGTAACAAACCTGCACATTGTGCACATGTACCTTAGAACTTAAAGTATAATAAAAATATTTTTAAAAAGATATTTGTTTTTTGCACCAGCTATACATCAGAACAGAATCTGGTGACTAAGAGGCTAAGAAACAGGGCTTATATGATTTTACATTTCTGGGGAGACAAATAATGGAAATTTTGGCCCATATAAATACCCAAGACTTTCAGCTAGAATGGGTGAATGGCTGCAACCTATGAATAACCATAGACTGAATATAGGCCAGCCCTAAAAATGACTGCAATCTAGAGTATATAATCACCTTTGCTGATGATAGCATATGCAAAATAAACTACATAATTTAAAGTATGCAAGTCAGTATTTTTATAGTTGTATATACCCATGATACCAATACCTCAATCAAGGTAGAGAACATTTCCATCACTCTCCAAAATCTATTTTGTCTTTTGATTTCAGACTTAGTCAACTACTACTCTAATTTATGCCCTCATAGATAAGTTTGCATGTTCTTGAATTCTTAGTGATAGATCTACATAGTGTGTATTATTTTGAGTCTTGCTTTCTGCATTCAGCAAAAATATTTTGAAATTCATCTAAAATGGTTGCAGGCCAGCACATTGTTTTGTTTTCATTACTAGTAATGTTCAATAATAAGGATATAGTATAATTTATTCATTACATCCGTTGACAGATACTTACAGTAATTCTAGGTTTTCGCCACAGTATTTTGAAAAAAGTGGCTATAAATATTCAGCACAGGTCTTCATTTGAGCAAATGTTTTTACTTCTCTTGAACAGATATTTAAGAGTTGAATGAATGGGCCATAAGGTATGTGTAACTTTTAAAGAAACCACAAAACAGTGTTCCAAAGTGTCTGTGTCATTTTACGCTCCTACCAGCAATGTATGACCCAATTCTATCCACCCCATTCAAAATTAGGGATGTTTTCCTACTTTAATTACTTCCCAAAAGCAAAAATAAATTCTATCTAGAGGAGGATAACAACATTCCAAACTTTTAAAAAGTATATATTGTATAAATTGTATATATATAGAGTATAAATATGTATATATTGTATAAATAAATTGTGTAAAAAGTATGTATGTATATATTGTATAAATAAAAAGTACATATTGTATCAATTGTCATTTTGAAATAGATGCTGGAGAAATGGAGGAAAGAAGAGGTTATTAACTATTTCAATAATGCTCATTCTATCACTACCAAACCTGTCCTACGAGAACTGCTAAAGGAAGTTCACCAAACTGAAAGAATGTTAATGTGATTGTCATACTAAAAATGAAGTATTATATTTAAACCACTTACCTATTTAGTAAGAAAACTAAAAACAATTTAAAATAATAACTACAACAATTTTTAAGAGATAGGCAATATAAAAAATGTAAATTGCAACATCAAAATTCAAAATATGGGTGAAGAATGGAGTTAATGTGTATAAGTTTTTAGTTGGAAGTTTGTTTTTATTTTTGAGAGCAAAGTTAAGTTGCTATCAGTTTTATACTACATGTTATATTATAGGATACTTTTTGTAAGCCTCATGGACACCACAGTGCAAAAACTTATAATGGATACACTAACAATAAAAAGCAACAAATTAAAACATACTACCAGAGGAAAATAACAAGGAAAAAAGGAAAGAAGGAAGGAAGGAAGGAAGGGGAAGGGGAAGGGGAGGGAGAGGGGGAAAGAGAGAAAGAGAGGAAGGCAGGAAGGAAGGAAGGAAAGGAAGGAAGGAAGGAAGAGAGGAATTACGAAATTAGAAAACAAGTAACAAAATGGCAGTACTAAGGCATGAACTATCAAAAATAAAATTGAATGTAAACAGACTACATTCTATTTAAAAGACATACAATGGTTAAATGAATTAAAAACAAGACCAAATTATATGCTGCCTGCTGCCTGCCAGAAACTCTTCAATAAATAGTGCTGGCATAGCAGGCTAGCCATATGTAGAAGACTGGAATTGAACCTGTTCCTTTTACCATACACAAAAATAAACTCAAGATAGATTAAAGACTTAAATGTACAACCCAAATGTATAAAAACAATAGAAGAAATTCTAGGAAATACCATTCTGGACATCGACTTTCACGAAGACTTCAAGACGAGGACTCCAAAAGCAATCACAACAAAACCAAAAATTGACAAATAGAATATAATTAAACTAAAGAGCTTCTGCATAGCAAAAGAAACTATCAACGGAATACACACACAACTTACAGAATGGGAGAAAATATTTGCAAACTATGCATCTGGCAAAGGTCTAATATCCAGAATCTATAAGGAACTTAAACAAATAAAAAAGTGAAAAACAAACAACTCTATTTTTAAAACGAGCAAATGGCATGAACAGACACTTCTCAAAAGAAGATATACACATCTAACAAGTATATTAAAAAGTTCAATATCACTAATCACCAGAGAAATGCAAATCAAAACCACAATGAGATATTGTCCCACACCGGTCAAAATGGCTACTATTAAAAAGTTAGGAAATAACATTTGCTGGTGAGGTGGTGGAGAAAAGGGAACATTTATATACCACTGGTGGAAATGAAAACTAGTTCAGCCACTGTAGAAAGAAGTCTGGAGATTTCTCAAATAACTTAAAATAGAACTACCACTTGATCCAGCAATCCCATTACTAGGTGTATAACCAAAGTAATATAAATCATTCTGCCATAAAGCAATATGCATGCAGATTTTCAGTGCAGCACTATTTACAATATCAAAGTCACAGAATCAACCTAGTTGTCCATCAGTGGTGGACTGGATACAGAAAACATATATACCACAGAATACTATGCAGCTATAAAAAACGAGACTTTGGTCTTTGCAGTAATAGGGATGGAGCTGGAAGCTATCATCCTAAGCAAATTGGTGAAGGAATGGAAACCCCAGTATGGCATGTTCTCACTTATAATTGGGAGTTAAATATTGAGTACATAAGGACACAAAGAAAAGAACAATAGAAACTGGGGCCTATGATGGGGGAGGTGAGGATCAAAACCAACCCATTGGTTACCACACTTATTACATGGGTGACAAAATAATCTGTACACCAAACCCATGTGACACACAATTTACCTATATAACAAACCTGCACAGGTACCCTGAACCTAAAATTAAAGTTTAAAAAAAAAGAAAAGCTACTTAATGGGTATAATGCTAATTCCCTGGGTGACAAAATTATCTGTACACCAAACCCCCATAACAAAAAATTTACTGATGTAACAAACCTGCACATGTACCACTTGAACCTGAAATACGTTGTGCACATGTACCCTAAAACTTAAAGTATAATAAAAAAATTAAAAATAAAAAAAAGCAAAAAAAAAATTGGAAAGAAAAAAAGAACCTCACTTCACCTATAGAAACACACAAAGAATGCAACACCAGTGTCTAGCAAGAGAAGGATGGATAAAGAAAATGTAATATATATACATGATGGAATATCATTCAACCATAAAAAATAATGAAATCCTTTCATTAGTAGCAACATGGATAAAATTGGAAGTCATTATGTTAAGTGAAATAAACCATGAACAGAAATACAAATATATCATGTTCTCACTGGTATGCAGGAGCTAAAAAAAGTGGATCTTATGAAGGTCAAGGGTAGAATGGTGCTTATCAGAGTCTGCAAATGGATGCAAGGAAAAACAGATGAAAAAGAGTTTGTTAGTGGATACAAAAATAGAGTTAGATACAAGGAATAATTTTTAGTATTTGATAATACAGTAGAGAAAATACAACTAACATTTATTAATATTAGCATAACATATATTGTATATTTCAAAATAGCTAGAAAAAAATTGTAATTTTCACAACACAAAGTGTTTGTGGTGATAGATATTATAATCACTCTGATTTAATCATTACACATTGTATATGTGTAAGAAAACACATCTACCCCAAAATATGTACAACTATAATATATTGAAAAATTAAATAAATAAATAAATATAGTGCTCATTTTAGAAAACCAATCAATGATGCCTAAAAGAGGGACTAATGTGTAAATATAAGCATCAGAACAAAAAAAATCAAATCTCCTGAAATACCAAAATACCAAAAAAGAATGAAAAGTGAAATATTTTATATACCTTTTATAAAGATATATGTATAAACTTATAAAGATATGTCTTTAATTTACCTGGC